>NC_000020.11:5066335-5217850 GCF_000001405.40 Homo sapiens
GCAAAACTAGGGAGCAGAGGAAAGAGAACATTTTTTAAAAAACAAAAATGTTGCCTGGGCGCGGTGGCTCACGCCTGTAATCCCAGCACTTTGGGAGGCTGAGGTGTGAGGATCATCTGAAGTCAGGAGTTTGAGACCAGCCTGGCCAACATGGTGAAACCCCGTTTCTACTAAAAGTACAAAAAAATTAGCTGGGTGTGGTGGCGTATGCCTGTAGTCCCAGCTACTTGGGAGGCTGAAGCAGGAGAATAGCTTGAACCCGGGGGGCAGAGGTTGCAGTGAGATTGTGCCACTGCACTCCAGCCTGGGCGATAGAGCGAGAGAGACTCTGTCTCAAAAAAAAAAAAAAAAAAATCAAAACCCCAAACATACCCAAGGACCCTCCTCCTGGTTATTCACACCTGTGATTAACGAGGTCACACCTTGACTGTCCCTTGGGTCAGACAGAACTTCGCTGACCCGGGTTCATGCTCATCATCCCTCACAGGCAGGAGGGTGTTCATCCCCTCACTCACCTGTTTCCAGTCTCTGGCCCCCACCCCTGGGGTCCTCAGCTGCCAATCCACATACATCCAAGCCCCTGTTTAAGCTTTTAATTGCTCCCACTGACTTCAAAATGAAGCAATATTCCACCGTCTTAGCTTGGGTTTACGTAAAAGTAGATTTCAGGTATGGATAGTTTCTTTGGAAAGGACTCCAAGTAGTGGAGAAGTGAGAAACGGCGCAGGGCGGAAAGCCAAGGAAAGGTGCATTGAAGTGCAGATGATCACTGCGGGCACCAGGCTCAGTCCTGCAGGGATCCTCTGCAGAGCTGGGTAAAAGATGCTTCAGAATTATCCGGTGAGGGGGGAAAACAGGTGGGCAGTTACTCACTGATTCCTGGCACTCATTGGTTGAGGGTTGTCCTCAGGAAAATAAAGCCCCAGTATGTCCAGGCTACTCTACACAGGCTGAGCAAGTCTCAGTGGTGCTGGAGAAACCCGTGTGGTTTCTGCAGTGGGAACATGTCAGGTGTCCTGGAACTGCCCACCACGCTGCAGATGAATATGCCACAATGTCAACAGTGTTTAGGCTCATATATATATATATATATATATATATATATATATATATATATATATATATTTTAAGACAGTCTTGCTCTGTCACCCAGGCTGGAGTGCAATGGTGCCATCTTGGCTCACCACAACCTCCACCTCCTGGGTTCAAGCGATTCTCCTGCCTCAGCCTCCCGAGTAGCTGGGACTACAAGTGCGTGCCACCACACCCGGCTAATTTTTGTATTTTTAGTAGAGGCAGGGTTTCACTATGTTGGCCAGGCTGGTCTCGAACTCCCGACCTCATGATCCACCTACCTCAACCTCCCAAAGTTCTGGGATTAAGGCATGAGCCACCACACCCGGCCTCCCCACCCAGCCCCCCTCTGCTTTTTTTTTTTTTTTAAGACAGAGTCTCACTCTGTTGCCCAGGCTGAAGTACAGTGGCACAGTCATGACTCACTACAACCTCCGCCTCCTGTGCTCAAGTGATCCTCCCACCTCAGCCTCCAGAGTAGCTGGGAGTACAGGCATGCACCACCAGACCTGGCTATTTTTAAAATTTTTTTGTAGAGACAAGAGATGGAGTCTCACCGTTATCCAGGCTGGTCTCAAATTCCTGGGCTCAAGCAATCTGCCCACCTTAGCCTCCCAAAGTGCTGGGATTACAGGTGTGAGTCACTGCGCTCAGCCTCAGGCTCCTCTTTCTTGCTTCACCATCCATTATCAAGGTCGTTCTCTTCAAGTTTGCAAGGCACACTGCAGTTCCACATCCAGGTCCCAGGCAGGTGGAAAGGTAAAAGAATGTCTTGCAGCTGATATTGCAGCTGTTCCCGTTTTAAGGCGTTTTCTCCAACAACTTCCACCTGTGTTCCATTGGTCAGAACCTAGCCACATGACCATACCTAGTTAGAAGGCATGCTGGAAAACGTAGCTTTTCTATTAATGGCTGTGCGTATTAGTCTGTTCTCACACTGCTATGAAGAAATATCCGAGATTAGGTAATTTATAAAGAAAAGAAGTTTAATTGACTCACAGTTCTGCATTGCCAGGGAGGCCTCAGGAAACTTACAATCATGGTGGAAGGCAAAGGAGAAGCAGGCACCTTCTTCACAGCGCACCAGGACAGAGTGAGTGCAAGCAGGGGAAATGCCAGATGCTTATAAAACCATCAGATCTCATGAGAGTCACTCACTATCACAAGAACAGCTTGGGGGAAACCACCCCATGATCCAATTACCTCCACCTAGTACCTCCTTTGATACATGGGAATTACAGGGATTACAATTCAAAGTGAGATTCGGGTGGGGACACAGAGCCAAATCATATCACCATGTTAGGCCAAGATTATCCAGCGGTTTTATTACTCATCCAGCTAAGGTTCAGTGGTTCTATTACTAAAGAAAAAGGGGAGAATGGATGTAGTACTGGGCATCCAGCCATCTGTACCACCCTGCAGTCCCTTTGTGAGAATATGAGCATCCCAGTCTCTTCAGCATCGCTCTCAGTACCAAGGATGGTATGAAGGGGACAGGAATCCTCCTACCCTCAGGAACAGAGGTGGGGCCATGGGGAGTGGTCTGCGCCATTCTCACCATTCACAAGAGGAGTTGCATAGGGGGTAGAGGGCAGCTGGAATTCCTTTGGCCTGCTCCTCTAGGCATATGGAACATTCCCTCCACATATCCTGCTCTTAGTAGGAGAAGCTCTCTGCTGCATTTTACAATCAGTCATTTTCATGCTGACGTACTTATTCCTAGGACATTTTCAGTTTAGCCCTTTTAAGATGCTTATCTCAAATTAGAGGCACCAACCTCAGTCAGGTGATGACACCTGTGTTCCTCTTCCTTCTGGAAGCCTTGAGCTGAGTCCTCCTTCGGGACTCCTCCCACTGATGCCTCCCATCATGTACCCACGGGATGCTGGTAGATGTTTGTGGTCAGCTTTCTTTTGTTCCCGTGAGGTGGATTCGAGACTCTGAGAAAGAAACACCCCTTCTCAATTCCACCACAAGTTCTGCCTCTTCAACCCTCAAAAAATCCTAATTGTCAAGAAATCACATCTTATGCATTTTGGTGCTCCACAACACTTCCTGAAGGCCTGTGTGAGGCAGGAGCTCAAGATCTACTTGTTCACTGCATGGTTGTTTGTGATCTGTCACTCAGTGAGTGACCAAGGGAAACTACCTCTGAAGAGAGCAGACACCGACATTTCCTTCCCTCCCCGTAGATGAATGCTGCAATGCATTTCAAGGGGTAGAGTCTAAGTCCCTTTCCTTTCCTTTCCTCTCCCCTTTCCTTTCTTTCCTCTCCCCTTCCCTTCCCTTCCCTTTCCTTTTCCTTTCCTTTTTCCTTTGTGAGACAGTCTCCCTCTGTTACCTAGGCTGGAGTGCAGTGGCACCATCTCGGCTCACTGCAACCTCCGCCTCCAGGGTTCAAGTGATTCTTGTGCCTCAGCCACCCAGGTGGCTGGGATTACATGCATGCACCACCACATCTGGCTAATGTTTGTATTTTTAGGAGAGACGGGGTTTCACCATGTTGGCCAGACTGGTCTTGAACTCCTGGCCTCAAGTGATCTGCCTGCCTCGACCTCCCAAAGTGCTGGGATTACAGGTGTGAGCCACTGCGCCCAGCAAATTCCCTTTTCTTTGAATTGGGGCTGACCTTAGTGACTTAAGAGTGGAAGGGACATCTTGTGTCTTCCCGGGCATGGAGTTAAGAAGCCTTACGGGTCTCATCTAGCTCTCTTGGAACTTTGCTCTCGAGACACTCCTTCTCAGACCCCAGCCCCCATGCTAAGTGGACTCCTGAGCCACCTGGAAAGGCCGTGCATCAACTCTCCAGTTGATTGTCCCAGCTGAGTTCTCAGCAGACAATTAGCATCACCTACCGGCCACATAAATGAGCCATCTTGTATTTGCATCCAGTTGAGTCTTGCGCTAACTGTAGCACTAACCAATATCTAACAACAATCACCTAAGAGATCCCACATGAAAACTGCTGAGCTGAGCCCAGTGAACTCGCAGAACCATAAGACACAAAAATCAATTGTCCAGTGATGAAGTGTTGGGGCCATTTGTAATGCAGAAATAGATAACCGGAAGAGTGACTAAGCCAGGAAGAGAACCTGGAAGAAGTTGTCTTGATCACCGAGGAGTCTTACTGGTGAGAAAGCACTGCCCAGCTGACCTACTCTGCCATATTCCTGATCCAGATGCGCAAAGGGCTGTGGTAGGTGACAGGTGGCCTCCTTTCACCACAATGGTTCCACTAATTCAAGTGTAAGTGAAAGCAGTATTTAATTATTGAGAGGGTGAAGACCTAACAAATATTTGCATAAAAGAATTTTTGTTTACCCTTTGCAAATAACCTGGCAGATTTTGCTTGTTGGTTGGTTCTTTATTTTGCTTTTGAGACAAGATCTCACTGTTGCTCAGGCTGGAGTACAGCGGTGCGATTAAGGCTCACTATAGCCTTGACCTGTTGCACTCAAGCGATCCTCTCACCTCAGCCTCCCAAATAGCACAGCACCACTCCTGATTAACTTTTTTTTTGGTTGCTCTGAAACAAATGTGGCACAATAAAAGAAATTGGCTTCCCAGAAGATGTATAGAATCTTCTGTTTACTTGTTCATTTTTCCTTATTTTCTAGGAGTGAACAATGCCCCATTTCCAGGTGAATGGCAATGGAGTAGTTGTCCGAGGGTACTCAATACTCAAGAGTCAGCTGATCATGTCCTTAGATGCACCAGAAATGATGGTAAAGCTTGGGAGTGCGGATACCTTTGATTCTAATTATTAGCGAATGCCTCAGCTCAGCATCACTGGGCTATATGGGGCCTAAAGCAGGGCAGAGCCAATCAAGAACACTCAAAGACAGACAGATGCAGAACTGGGAATGGACGTGTAGGGACGGGAAGCTGGAGAAAGATGGGAGCATGAATATGCATGTAAGGGTACATAGATTTGGCCGGGCATGGTGGCTCACACCTGTAATCCCAGCACTTTGGGAGGCCGAGGCAGGCAGATCACCTCAGGTCAGGAATTCGAGACCAGCCTGGCCAACAAGGAGACACCCCGTCTCTACTAAAAATACAAAATTAGTCAGGCATGGTGGCGATGCCTGTAATCCCAGCTACTTGGGAGGCCAAGGCAGGAGAATCGCTTGAACCCGGACGGCGGAGGTTGCAGTGAGCCAAGATCGCGCCATTGCACTCCAGCCTGGGTAACAAGAGCGAAACTCCGTCTCAAAAAAAAAAAAAAACAAAAAGGGTACATAGATTTATAGTTATAGTGATACGTATATAGCAAGGTGAATACAGACATTAATATGTGCATTTAGAGAAAGATATACAGGACGTAGAAAAATGTCTTCTTTTATTTTTTGAGACAGTCTCACTCTGTCACCCAGGCTGGAGTGTAGTGGTGTGATCTCAGCTCACTGCAACTTCTGCCTCCTGGGTTCAAGTGATTCTCATGCCTCAGCCTCCAAGTAGCTGCGATTACAGGTGTGTGCCACCACGCTGCCACCACACCCAGCTAATTTTTGTATTTTTAGTAGAGATGGGGTTTCACCATGTTGGTCAAGCTGGTCTTGAATGCCTGGCCTCAAGTGATCCACCTGCCTCAGCCTCCCAAAGTGCTGAGATTACAGGTGTGAGCCACTGCGCCCAGCCTTTTTTGAGTTTTTGTTGAAGATAGGGTCTCACTCTGTCGCCCAGGCTGGAGTGCAGTGGCACCATCATGGCTCACTGCAACCTTGACCTCCTAGGTTCAGGTGATCCTCCCACCTCAGCCGGCTGAGTAGCCAGGACTATAGGCATGCACCACCATGCCTGGCTGATTTTTGTATTTTTTTGTAGAAATGGGGCCTCACTGTGTGGTCCAGGCTAGTGTTGAACTCCTGGCCTCAAGCGATCTTCCCACCTCAGCCTCCACAGTAGCTGGGATTACAAACAAGCATGAGCCTCCATACTCAGCCCCTTTCGAATCAAGTAGTTCTTGGCGAGTTTGCAGGACCATAGTTCCCTGTCCATGGTGATGGTTCCAGGGAAGGATAGCCACCCATGTTGGCCAAGAAGAACTCTCCCCGGCATCTTTCTACCTGGAGCTGGTAGGAAAGAGTGTTTTTTTCCTTTTTGGCCGTGAGACTATAAGAACATGAACTTGAAGTTTCCTGAAGATCTAGTTCCAGCCGGGCATGGTGGCTCACGCCTGTAATCCCAGCACTTTGGGAGGCTGAGGTGGGCGGATCACCTGAGGTCGGGAGTTCGAGACCAGCCTGACCAATATGGTGAAACCCTGTCTCTACTAAAAATACAAAAATTAGACTTGCGTGATGGCCGGCACATGTAGTCCCAGCTACACGGGAGGCTGAGGCAAGAGAATTGCTTGAACCTGGGAGGCGGAGGTTGCAGTGAGCCGAGATCACGCCATTGCACTCCAGCCTGGAAGACAGAGCGAGACTCCACCTCAAAAAAAAAAAAAAAAAAAAAAAAAAAGATCAGTTCCAACTTCTCTGTGGAGACTGATGACTTGAGAAACAGGAGCCAAACAGCACAGTAACTTAGTCTGGATTCCCCAGAAATAGACTCTGAAGTGAGGATTCATGTACAAGAGATTATGAAGGAGGTGCTTCCAGGGGAAACAGTAAGGGAATGAAGGAGGCAGGTCAGGGAAAAGGAGAAAACTGAGCTAGGGTGGCATTTCATGTGAGGTTCCAGTCTCAGTCTTGTCCCTTGGGAAGCTGTGGGGTGTCAATTATGCCTCAGGGTTATCCTTCTTCAAAGCAAGAGATCTGGACTTTCTTCCTCCCACACTATCACCCTGGTAAATATAAAATCCCAGCGCTTACACAACAGCTCCAAAAACTCCAGAAAGACTCTCCTGAACGTCACAGGTGTGGGAAAGAACCAGGAAGGTTCTGAAGGTGGGGCACACAAAGACAATGAGAGAGAATGTGGACACAGGGAGCCCTAGTTGAAGCAGCCTGGAGGTTCTGCATTTTTCCTGCCCTGGGGCTTGGCTTTGGTGGCTCACACTGAGGGAACTTCACTGTGTATCCTGGCTTGGTGCCACTGGCTGGGACTCCAGGGTGTGGTCAGAGCTGCTGGAGGGCAGGACCAGAGCCAGGGCCTGGCTGAGGCCTGGCACCAGGGACTGTACAGGCGAGGCTGCCTGGGCCCTGGATGAAGAGCAGTGATGTGAGGTGCCAGCTCAGACGCCAGAGATAGGAAAGCCCAAAGGCTAGCCTAAGGCTTGGGTAGTGGGAGTTGATGCAACAAAGTGGGGGAGACTGAACAACGGCTTCCTCTCTCTTCCTTTCACTCTTAGACTGTCCTCCTTGAAGGGAATCAGATTATGCCACCCCAAAATATGCCACATTGGCACAAGAATTATTTTGAGCTGAAGCCAATTAAGAAATAGCAGACACCGGAAGAACTCTCTGCCTGTGTTACTGTGTTTGCAGGAATACCTGAAGCTGGGAATTTATAAAGAATAGAGGTGTATTTGGCTCACAGTTCTGCAAGCTCTACAGGAAGCATGGCATCAGCCAGGGCTCAGCTTCTGGTGAGGACTCAGGGAGCTGCCACTCATGGTGGAAGGTGAAGCAGGAGCAGGCATGTCACATGGTGGGAACAAGCAAGGCGGGGGAGGGGCCACACTTTTGCACAACCAGATCTTGCCTGAACTCAGAGCAAGAGCTCACTCATTACCATGAGATGGCACCAAGCCATTTATGGGGGATCTGCCCCCATGACCCGAACACCTCCCACCAGGCCCCTCCTCCAACACTGGGGATCACACTTCAACATGAGATTTGAAGGGGGCACACATCCAAACCATATCACTGCCCCTCCCATTTCTGCCTAAAAGCAGAACATAAATTTCCATTTGTAAGGGTGTCTTTCTCTCCCTACCAGGAAGAGTAGAATAACGCTTAATCACCATTATCACTGGAGATGGTACCAAGATGAATCTGCGTAAATGAACCTTACTAGATACCCCTTATCTAACCTATCTATAGTTTCCCCCTTATATTTACTTTCCCACAGTTTACAACCCCTAGAAGCCCAAACCCATTTTTCTTTGTCTAGTTACCTCTCCACAATTTGTCACCCTTTGTTAAAATGATATAAACTCTCAGGCCTAACCACTGCTTTAGGTTTCACTTCTTTTCTGTGAAGTCCCTGTGTAAACACAAAATAAAACTTTCCTCCTGTCAATCTGTCTTTTGACAGTTTAACTCTCAGGCCCAGCTATAGAATTTAAGAGTAGAGGAGACCGGGCATGGTGGTACATGCTTGTAATCCCTGCACTTTGGGAGGCCAAGGCAGGCGAATCACTTGAGCTAAGGAGTTTGAGACCAGCCTGGGCAACATAGTGAGATCCTGTCTCTATAGAAAAATAAAAATAATGAAAACATTTTATTGCCTTTTAAAAAAAATTTTATTTTTATTACTTTTTAAAATAAAGACAGGCCTTGCTATGCTGCCCAGGTTTGTTTTGAACTCCTGGCCTCAAGCGATTCTTCCGCCTTGGCCTCCCAAAGTGCTGGGATTATAGGCATAAACCACCACACCTAGCCATAAATTTAATGTTATATGTTTTTTTACCACAATAAAAAAGGCATACAGAATGTAGGTATATACATTTATCTAAGTGCATCAACCTGTATAGTTAAAGTGGTACTTTTTTTTTTTTTTTTGAGACAAAATTTCACTCTTGTTGCCCAGGCTGGAGTGCAATGGCACGATCTCGGCTCACTGCAACCTCTACCTCCCGGGTTCAAGTGATTCTCCTGCCTCAGCCTCCTGAGTAGCTGGGATTATAGGCATACGCCACCAGGCCTGGCTAATTTTGTATTTTTAGTAGAGATGGCGTTTCTCTATGTTGATCAGGCTGGTCTCGAACTCCTGACCTTAGGTGATCCACCCGTCTCGGCCTCCCAAAGTGCTGGGATTACAGGCGTAAGCCACCGCGCCCGGCCTAAAATGGTACATTTTATGGAACACAGATAGTACTCCAGTAAAGCTGATTTAAAAGAATAAAATAAAACTAAAAAGAGGCCAGGCGCGGTGGCTCATGCCTATAATCCCAGCACTTTGGGAGGCTGAGGGTGGATGGATCACCTGAAGTCAGGAGTTTGAGACCAGCCTGGCCAACATGGTTAAACCCCATCTCTACTAAAAATACAAAAATTAGCCGGGCTTGGTGGCACACGCCTATAATCCCAGCTACTCGGGAGGATGAAGCAGGAGAATCTCTTGAACCCGTGAGGCAGAAGTTGCAGTGAGCTGAGATCGCACCACTTCACTCCAGCCTGGGCGAAAGAGAGAAACTTCGCCTCAAAAATAATAATCATAATAAATAAATAAAAATAATCTTTTTCCTATAGGGGCCCAACCTCATGACATCCTATGAAATCATGTTTTGCAATTGCTGTCAAGGTTTCTAACAATGAGACCAGGTTTAGTGGCTTACACTTGGAGGCCGAGGCAGGCAGATCACTTGAGTCCAGGAGTTTGAGACCAGCCTGGGCCACATAGCAAAACACTGTCTCTACAAAAATATATATACAAAAATTAGCTGGGCGTGGTGGTGCGCACCTGTGGTACTAGCTACTTGTGGGGCTGAGGTGGGAGGGTCGCTTGAGCTTGGGAGGTGGAGGTTGCAGTGAATTGAGATAGTGTCACTGCACTCCAACCTGGGCAACAGAGCAAGACCCTGTCTAAAAAAAAAAAAAATTGCAGCAATAGCTCAAGCACCCAAGTCCTTCACTGGACAGGAAGTGTCCTAAGGGTACTTTCTATGGTCTGGTTGTTATTGTGCCCCAGAGGATGATGTGATGCAGTGACTTGAGAGGCAAGCATTAAATGTTGTTGGCTGGGCATGGTAGCTCACGCCTGTAATCCAGCACTTTGGGAGGCCAAGGCAGGCGGATCATCTGAGGTCAGGAGTTCGAGACCATCCTGGCCAACATGGCGAAACCCCGTCTCTACTAAAAATACAAAAAATTACCCAGGCATGGTGGCGGGCGCCTGTAATCCCAGCTACTCGGGAGGCTGAGGCAGGAGAATCACTTGCACCCATGAGGTGGAGGTTGCAGTGAGCTGAGAGCGCGCCACTGCACTCCAGCCTGGCTGAAAGTGAGACTCTATCTCAAAAAAATAAATAAAATGAAATAAATAAATATCGTTGAATGGATGGACTCACCAATTTGTATTTGTCTGTTATGTAACAGGCATCTATGTATATTCTCTGTGTATACTTTGCCTGTTTATATTCTTGGATTGATATTCTTTTTTTTTTTTTTTTTTTGAGACAGAGTCTTGCTTTGTTGCCCAGGCTGGAGTGCAGTGGTACAGTCTTGGCTCACTGCAACCTCTGCCTCCTGGGTTCAAGCGATTCTCCTGCCTCAGCCTCCAGAGTAGCTGGGATTACAGGCAAGCGCCACTACACCTGGCTAATTTTTGTATTTTTAGTACAGACGGGGTTTCGCCATGTTGGCCAGGCTAGACTCGAACTCCTGACCTCAGGTGATCCACCCACCTTGGCCTCTCAAAGTGCTGGGATTACAGGTGTGAGCCACCATGCCCAGTCAATTGATATTCTTTAAATTCATTCATACATTCTTTCAACAAATATTGGCAGAGTGCAGTGGCTCACACCTGTAATCCCAGCACTTTGAGAGGCCAAGGCAGGAGGATTGCTTGAGCCCAGGAGTTCGAGATCAGCCTGGGCAACATAGTGAGACCCCATCTCTACAAAAAACAAACAAAATTAGCTGAACATGGTGGCATGTGCCTGTAGTCCCAGCTACTCGGGAAACTGAGGTGGGAGGGTCATTTGAGCTCAGGAAAGTAGAGGCTGCAGTGAGCTGAGATTGTGCCACTGCACTCCAGCCTAGGCAACAGAGCAAGACCCTGTCTCAAAAACAAAACAAAACAAAACAAAAACCAAACATTTACTGAGTCCCAGCTATCTGACAGGCTATCCTAAATGTTGAGGTTACACAGTGACCAAAATAGACAAAAATCTGGTCCTTGGCCTGGTGTGGTGGCTGACGCCTGTAATCCCAACATTTTGGGAGGTGGGTGGATCACCTGAGGTCAGGAGTTCCAGACCAGCCTGGTCAACATGGCAAAATCCCGTCTCTACTAAAAATACAAAAATTAACTGGGCATGGTGGCGCACACCTGTAATCCCAGCACTTTGGGGGGCTGAGGTGGGTGGATCACTTGAGGTCAGGAGTTCAAGACCAGCTTGACCAATATGGTGAAACTCCATCTCTACTGAAAATACAAAAATTAGCAGGGTGTGGTGGCAGGCGCCTGTAGTCCCAGCTACTTGGGTAGTTGAGGCAGGAGAATCACTTGAACCTGGGAGGCAGAGGTTGCAGTGAGCTGAGATTGCAACAGCGCACTCCAACCTGGGCAAGAGAGCAAGACTCAACTAAAAAAAAAAAAATCTGTGCCCTTGTGGATTCCATCTTACTAGGGGAAATACTTGTAAGTAAGATAAATTTGTGAAATATATACTATGATGGTAGTGAGTATTAAGGAGAAAAATGAATCAGGATCAGAGATAAGTAGCATGGGGCCTGGGGGCTTAGCTTCACTGAGGTGATATTTGTATCAACACTTCATGAATGACACACAGACATCAACCTCACTGCCCCATGGAAGTATAATCTGAGGCAGAGCAGTAGAAACTGGCTCAGGAGAAAAGGGAGGATGCAGACATGTCAATTAGACACAGCCAAAGATGCTTCATGATTTCCTGGGTGTGTGACCTGTGTAGACGCCCAGGGACCCATGCTTAGAGGGACTCTGTGCTTGATTTAATGCTCTGCTGTCACCCTCTTGAAGTTTTTAATCAGTTTTTAAACAAGGGACTGCGCATTTTCATTTGGCACTGGGCCCCACAAGTTACAAGTTATGTAGCCGGTCCTTCACTCTGTTGAATAAACAATGGCTTCTCCCTATCACCCTCTTTGGAAGCACAGATACTCCCAGCAAATGCTAATCATTCATGTTTCTAATTTCCTGGGGTGACTTGTTTTTCCTCTAACAGGTGTGAAGTATGAGATAGAGACTGTATCATCCAGGGTAGGCTGGGATATGCTGCATGACAGAAACCCCCAAATCTAGTGGCTTAACACAACAAAGGTGTACTTCACTCTCGCACTTTGTGTTCATTATGGGTCAACGCGGGGCTCTGTTGTGCATCACGATCACTCTAGGACCGTGGCAGAGGGAAAGTGAAACTGGCGGTTAGAGCCGCTACTCAGAAATGACACATATTGCTTGAACTCACATTTCCTCGCCAAGGCAAGTCATGTGGCGACGCCCTCCTTTAAGAGATGAGGAAGTTCAATCCAAACATGAGCCCACAGAACTGGGCCACTTGTCTTTTGGTGTGTTTTTTTGAGACACAGACTCTTGCTCTGTTGCCCAGGCTGGACTGCAGTGGTGTGATCATGGTTCCCTGCAGCCTCAACCTCCTGGCCTCGAGCAATCCTCCTGCCTCAGCCTTCCAAGTAGCTGGGACTACAAGCATGCACCAATGGGCCCAGCCTACATTTGTTAATTAGTTATTCCAACACTATTTATTAAACAAGCTATCCTTTCTCTGGTGATTTTAATTGCCCATTTATCACATACAAAATTTTGCTGATATTTGTGACTCTTTTTGCATAGTGTTTCTGTTCCATTGATTTTTCTTTCAATGCCTATGCAGAATCACCCTGTTTTAATTTCTGTAGGTTTATAATGCCATTTTATTTTATTGTTTTAGAGACAGGGTCTTGCCATGTTGCCCAGGCTGGCCTTGATCTCCTGGGTTCAAGGAATCCTCCTGCCTCAGCCTTCTGAGTAGCGGGACTACAGGCACAAGACAGCATGCCTGATTTGTAATGTCATTTAATATCAAAGAGGTTAAGTATTCTCAAGTTTCCCCTTTGACTTTTCCTTGGCTATTATATTAATCTTTTATTTCTAGATAGATTTCAGAACCACTTTGTTGAATTCCCCCACTCCTTCTATGTGATTTTGATTAGAATGGAATTGCATTTGTAGATGAATTTGCATTTCTTTATAATATTGAGACTTTAGGTTTTTGTTTTGTTTTTAGAGACAGCTTGCTCTGTCACCGAGGCTGGAGTGCAATGGCACAATCATAGATCACTACAGCCTCCAACTCCTGAGCTCAAGTCATCTTCCCACCTCAGCTGGGACTACAGGTGCATGCCACTGCACCCAGCTTTTACTAGTGTAATGAAATAATCTTTCCATCTCCTGGGAGAATGGTCACTCACGACTGAAATTCACTGAAATTTTTAAAAAAGAAGAAAAAAAAATTGGAAAGCCTTATTTTCTCTCTCTCCTTTCTTTTTTGAGACAGGGTCTTGCTCTGTTGTCCAGGCTGGAGTGCAGAGGTGCGATCCTGGCTCACTGCAACCTCTGCCTCCCAGGCTGAGGTGATCCTCCTGCCTCAGCTTCCCGAGTAGCTGGGACTACAGGTATGCACCCCCATACCTGGCTAACTTTTGTATTTTTAGTTTAAAAAACTGCATAGTTTTTGTTTGTTTGAAAAAAATCATTACATCTTACTGAGATACTTAAGAAGATTATTTTATAAAACTAATAAAAGCTGGGTTACTATCTTCAGTAACTTTCTATTAATTTGATCTTCAAGTATTTTGTTTTATAGTTATTGTGAATGAGACAATGTTCCTAAATGTTATTCTAGTAGAGTAGAAGTTCTCTCAATTTTGATATTATTTGTAATCATCTATCCTGCTGCTAAGCTCTCTTATTAGTGCAAACAGCTTTTTGAAAAAATCTCTGTGTCCTTAATGTAGACGCCGGAAAATAAAGAAGAAAAATCCTCTTGGTTTTTGTAAGTTGCAATTAATGTGTTCACAAATTATGATTAGTTGCTCATCTTTGTTTCTTTCCTTTTTCTTTTTGTACCAGTTTCATACTTCTCATTTCTACAGCAAGACTGAAAGTTGCTGTGTTAACTGATACAATTTAATTTCTACTGTCTTCTGTGACCCCATGACTGCTTCTCTCCAGCCTGGCAGCAGCTAGCGTGTTCAGTGCCTACTGGCTTAGGGAAGGAATGACACAGCAGAATGTAGAAAAAGGAAGTCAAGTTCTTGAAATTTTTAGTTTCTAAAGTCTTTCTGTCTTTTTTTTTTTTTGAAATGGAGTCTCAGTCTATTGCCCAAGCTGGAGTGCAGTGGCGCAATCTCGGCTCACCACAACCTCTGCCTCCCGGATTCAAGTGATTCTCCCGCCTCAGCCTCCTTAATAGCTGGGTCTACAGGCATGCGCCACCACGCCAGGCTAATTTTCACCATGTTGCCCAGGCTGGTCTCGAACTCCTGGCCTCAGGCGATCCACTCACCTTGGCCTCCCAAAGCTGGGATTGTAGGCATGAGCCACTGCACCCAGCCATCTTTCTCAGACTTGAAATAGCAGATGAGGCGAGTGACACTCTATACCAGGTTACACACTGTGGCCCCTGGACCCCTGCTGATCCATGAACTGTCTGTTACTGTCCATGATGAGTTAAGTACAGATATTGAGAACAAACATTTAGCAGCTGTTACAGCAATATGATGTTGTCACAATATCCAAGTGCATGATTGGCAGACTCATTTCATTCAACAGTGTACAGGCCAAAAAGATTAATTCATGACAATTGGAAATAAAACAAAACTGGTCTTCCATCATAGATTGTTTGATAAGTGCTTCTTTAACTAGAAGTCTCTAGATGCAGAGAAAGAGGAGAATTAGAGAGAAGCATGTGGGTTTGAATCTGAGATGTGTCCCTGCATCTTATCCCCTCCCCTAGAAGCCCAAAAAACTGCTGTAAGTGGGCGGTGGGGGATGGAAGGGGCGAGCTGCCAGCAGGAGAACAAGAGATATCCTTGACAAGCCAGAAAGCTGGAATCGGAAGGGACCCATGCCCTTTTTCTAAGTAGAGTCTGGGAAGTGGCAAGACAGTGAAAAGGCTATGGGCACAGCAGGGGAGCTGGGTCTGGCAGCCCACATGGTTCTCACGCACCCCGGCGGAGCAGCAGAACAATTTGATGTGTGTCCAGAAGGAGCCCAAAGGTAGCAAAGAACCTTGAACACTCCCACGAAGTAGGCACACACGCCACCTAAAGCTCCCACATGCCCAAATGGGGTGCAGAAGGAGCTAAGAGACACAGATCAGAAGAATGTTCATAGCTGAGAACAGGGAACAAAACCACAGCTACCTGTATCACCAGTACCCAAAGCCTAGACAAAACAAAATACATCTTAGCCAGTGTGGACACTCAAGAGTCAGATGATCCTCCTTTCTGGAGGCCTTGACACTAAATGACAGCCCTCCCTGCTTGCTGTCAGAAAGGGGAACACTCTCATTATGACGAGGAGTAAATTTCCATCACCTGGGAGAATGGTCACTCATGTTTGAAATTCACTGATTTTCTTTTTTTTCTTTTTTTTTTTTTTTTTTTAGACAGAGTCTTGCTGTGTCACCCAGGCTGGAGTGCAGTGGTGCAATCTCGGCTCACTACAACCTCTGCCTCTCGGGTTCAAGCAATTCTCCTGCCTCAGCCTCCCGGGTAGCTGGGATTACAGGCACCCACCACCACGCCTGGCTAATTTTTATGTCTTTTTTTTTCTTTTTTAGCAGAGATGTGGTTTCGCCATGTTGGCCAGGCTGGTCTCAAATAGCTGACCTCAGGTGGTCCACCTGCCTCGGCCTCCCAAAGTGCTGGGAGCCACCACGCCCAGCCATTCACTGAAATTTTTTAAAAAGAAGAAGAAAATGGGAAAGCCTTGTTTCTCTCTCTCTTTCTCTCTCTCTCTCTCTCTTTTTCGAGACAGGGTCTTGCTCTGTTGCCCAGGCTGGAGTGCAGAGGCATAATCCCGGCTCACTGCAACCTCTGCCTCCCAGGCTCAGGTGATCCTCCTGCCTCAGCCTCCCAAGTAGCTGGAACTGCAGGTGCATGCCACCATGCCTGGCTAATTTTTGTATTTTTAGTTTTTTAAAAAATAACTACATAGTTTTTGTTTGTTTTGAGACAGAGTCTTGCTCTGTTGCCCAGGCTGGAATGCAGTGGCACGATCTAGGCTCACTGCAACCTCAACCTCCTGGGCTCAAGCAATCCTCCCTATCTCAGCCTCCTGAGTAGCTGGGATTACAGGTGCCCACCACCACACCCAGCTAATTTTTGTACCATTAGTAGAGACAGGGTTTCACCATGTTGGCCAGGATGGTCTCAAACTCCTGACTCTCAAGTGATCCGCTCACCTTGGCCTCCCAAAATGCTGGGATTACAGACTTGAGCCACCATGCCCAGCCTTAAGGAAACCCTTATTTCTTGCAAGGCTATCTGTATATTGACATTCATACCTCCTTTGGCTTTGTTCAATCAAAATGATAGACGTTAGTGGGCATTTTTACCTTGTTTCTGATTTTAATGGGAAGGTATTTGGTATTTTATTATTAGTTATGGCATTTGTGATTAATTCTTCATATTGTTTTTTTTTTTTTTTTCTTTTTCAGATGGAGTTTCACTCTTGTCGCCCAGGCTGTAGTGCAATGGCGCGATCTCGGCTCATTGCAACCTCCACCTCCCGGGTTCAAGCGATTCTCCTGCCTCAGCCTCAAGAGTAGCTGGGATTACAGGCGTGCACCACCACAACTGGCTAATTTTTGTATTTTTAGTAGAGATGGGGTTTCACCACATTGGCCATGCTGGTCTCGAACTCCTGACCTCATATGAGCCGCCTGCCTCAGCTTCCCAAAGTGCTGGGATTACAGGCGTGAGCCACCGCACCCGGCCTAATTCTTCATATACTTGATGATGTTAGGGCCCATCTTTTTGAAGTTGGTTAGGGAGATTTTTTTTTTTTTTTTTTTTTTTTTAGGAGCAGAGGTTTAATAGAAGAAAGAGAAAGAAAAACAGTTCTCTCTCTCTATTGAGAGAGTGGGGACCTCTGAGAGGAAAGACCCAGCTAGGGAGTTTTAATATGCCTTTTTATTAAATCAGGAATAGCTGTCGAATTTTGTCTGATGGTTTTTTGGCTTCTATCAAGAAGAGAGTCATATGATTTTTCTCCTTCAACCTATTAGGGCACTCAAGTACACACAGATTTCCTTAATATACCTTTGACTTTGCCCATTTGTTTTAACCCACAGCTTGGTTTTATCTTATTATAATTTATTTACAATCTTAAAATCAATATTTATAAATGAAGTTGGCATGTACATTTCTTAACACATTCGTTTGGATGGGCTTTGATATAAGCATTCTACTAGGCTTGTTAAATGGACAGTGTTGCTTCTAAACTTTTCTCTTGCTTTAGATTCTAGAATGCCAAATTACCTACAGTCTTTCTTCAATGTTTAGTAGAAAATTTCCATAATATTGTTCAACTAGGTCTGAAAATTTGGAGGCATAAGATCTTTTTCTCTCTCTTTTATTTTAGGTTCAGGGAATACATGTGCAAGTTTGTTACGTGGGTAAATTATGTATCGTGGGGGTTTGGTATACTGACTATTTCGTCACCCAGGTAATGAGCATAGTACCTGAAAGGTAGTTTTTTGATCCTCACCCTCCTCCCACTCTCCACCATCAAGTAGGCCTCGGTGTCAACTGTTCCCTTCTTTGTACCCACGTGTGCTGAAGGTTTAGCTCCTGCTTGTAATAAGTGAGAATGTGTGGTATTTGGTTTTCTGTTCCTGCGTTAATTCATTTAGGATAATGGCCTTCGGGTCCATCTGTGTTGTTGCAAAGAACACGATCTTATTCTTTTTATGGCTGCATAATATTCTATTTTAATTTTTTTTTTTTTTTGAGACGGAGTCTTGCTCTCTCACCCAGGCTGGAGTGTAGTGGCACAATCTCGGCTCACTGCAACCTCCACCTCTTGGGTTCAAGAGATTCTCCTGCCTCAGCCCCCTGAGTAACTGGGACTACAGGCGTACGCCACCACGCCTGGCTAATTTTTGTATTTTTAGTAGAGACGGGGTTTCACCATATTGGTCAGGCTGGTCTTGAACTCCTGACCTCGTGATCCACCCACCTCAGCCTCCCAAAGTTCTGGGATTACAGGCATGAGCCACTGCGCCCGTCTTCTATTTTAATTTTTATTATTATTGTTTTTTGAGATGGAGTCTTGCTCTGTTGCCCAGGCTGGAGTGCAGTGGCGCAATCTCTGCTCACTGCAACCTCCGCTTCCTGGGTTCAAGCGATTCTCTCCCTCAGCCTCCTGAGTAGCTGGAACTACAGGCGTGTGCCACCACAGCCAGCTAATTTTTGTATTTTTAGTAGAGATGGGGTTTCACCATGTTGGCCAGGCCAGTCTCAAACTCCTGACCTCAGGTAATCTGCCTGCCTCGGCCTCCCAAAGTGTTGGGATTACAGGCGTGAGCCACTGCGTCTGGCCCCATAATATTCCACGTTGTATATGTACCACGTTTTCTTTATCCAGGCCACTGTTGATGCAACATAACATCTCTGGTGACTCTTTTCCCATCCTCCAGAGTTAGCTGGTTTATTCCAATTTTCTATTTCTTCCTGAGTCAATTTTAGTAATTTATATTTTATTTTTAAAATAGTCCATTTCATTTATTTTTAAAAAGTCCACTTCATTTCCATTTTTTAACTCACACACAAGGTTGTACCTAATATCCTGTTACCTGAAAGTTTATCCCTGAATCCAGAATTTCATCTGAAGGCTGTATTCTTGGACTCCAGATTGCCACCTACAACATCCTCTCTGATCTCACCGTAGGTACAAACCTTCTTTTTGTACAAGTTTCTCCTGTTGCAGGTAGCAACTCTCCTCCAATTCTCCTGTTCCATTTTTTTTTTCATGCTCCTGAATCTTTTTTTGTTTTTCTTTTTTTCTTTTTTTTTGAGACAGAGTCTCACTCTGTCACCCAGGCTGGAGTGCAGTGGCACAATCTCAGCTCACTGCAACCTCTGCCTCCTGGATTCAAATAATTCTCATGCCTCAGCCTTCTGAGTAGCTGGAATTACAGGCATGCGCCACCATGCCCTGCTAATTTTTGTATGTTTAGTAGAGACAGGGTTTCACCATGGTGGCCAGGCTGGTCTCAAACTTCTCACCTCAAGTGACCTGCTCGCCTCGGCCTCCCAAAGTGCTGAGATTACAGTGAGCCACTGCGCCTGGCTTCCTGAATCTTTTCATGAGCCAAGTTCCTCTTTACATCTTTACCCAAAGGAGCCTGTTTTTCTCTGGTGTCAGGAGTTGTGATATGGGTTTCCTGTTCTAATCTTGTAGTCCCAGACAAAAAAAAGCCATACTTTATTTGGGCTTATTTACCAGATTTAGATGATGAGCTGAGAGTGAAGAGAAGGGCTGGACCCCCAGCTAGGGTAGGGGACGGGAGGCCAGGCTCTTTTCCATGACATAAAGGACTCTCCAATATCTCACCTGCCTGCATCCTCTCCCAAGGCCCCTCGTGTTACAACCTCTTAGCCATAAGAAAGCAGGTGGTTGTCAGGCCATACCTGCCGTGTCACCTCTCACAGGTGCTCCTCTCACAGGCTGCTCCATCAGTCCAGATGCCCACGTCATGCTTCTTGACTTGGGTAGTACATCCTTGAACTTCCACTTTTATAATTTAAGCTATACATTTAGGTTCATGTGCTTTTCCATGTATGTATTATAGTTCACAATGAAAAGGGTTTTAATATGCAGCTGGGTGCGGTGGCTCGTGCCTGTAATCCCAGCACTTTGGGAGGCCAAGGTGGGAGGATCACTTGAGCAGGAGTTTGAGACCAGCCTGGGCAACATAGTGAGACCTCATTTCTATTAAAAAAAAAAAAAAAAAAAAGTATTGGCCAGCCACGGTGGCTCACGCCTGTAATCCCAGCACTTTGGGAGGCTGAGGCGGGTGGATCACTTGAGGTCAGGAGTTCAAAACCAGCCTGGCCAACATGGTGAAGCCCCATCTCTACTAAAAATACAAAAAATTAGCCAGGCGTGGTGGCGTGCGCCTGTAGTCCCAGCTGCTTGGGAGGCTAAGGCTGGAGGATGGCATGAACCCGGGAGGCGCAGCTTGCAGTAAGACGAGATCACGCCACTGCACTCCAGCCTGGGCAACAGAGCCAGACTCTGTCTCAAAAAAAAAAAAAAAAAAAAGAAGAAAAAGAAAAAAAAGTATCTGTATATATTTTTATATATGCTTTTTTTTCTGGAAGAATACAATGACAGATTGTTAATATGGAGTCTTTAATATTTTGCTTACTATAATTCCATATTTAAATAAACAATTATTTATCTTTTTATCTTTTTTTTTTTGAGGTAGGGTCTTGCTCTGTTGCTCAGAGTGGAGTACAGTGGCACAATCACAACTCACTGTAGCCTCAACCTTCTAGCCTCAAGCAATCCTCCCACCTCAGCCTCCCAAGTAGCTGGGACTACAGATGCACACTGCCACGCCTGGCTAATTTCTTATTTGTTTAGTTATTTTTTTGACACAGAGTCCCACTCTGTCCCCCAGGCTGAGTGCAGTGGTGTGACCATGGCTCATTGGAGCCTCGACCTCCCAGGCTCAAGCAATCATCCCGCCTCAGCCTTCCAAGTCGCTGGGACTTCAGGCATGCACCACCATGCTCAGCTAATTTTTGATTTTTTTGTAGAGATGAGGTCTTGCTATTTTGCCCAGGCTGGTCTCGAACTCACAGATGCAAGCAATCCTCCTGCCTCAGCCTCACAAAGTGCTGGGATTATAGGCATGAGCCGCCATGGCCGGCCAACAATTATTTTTCAAAGTCTGGAAGATGACAGGAAAACCCAAGACTGACCCTAGAAGACAGAGACACCATCACGGCCTCAGCTGTGTCCAGATTTCAACATGTAGCTGTTTCCCTCCTAGACAACAACCTTCCTTTCCAGCCTTCACTCCAAAGTATCAATTACTCACAGGGTTTTAAACTTTGGGACCTGATCATTGCTAGGTCTTTGCCAGGCTTTGTACACTCCAGGTGCTTTCCAGATTTAGATGATGAGCTGAGAGTGAAGAGAAGGGCTGGTCCCCCAGCTAAGGTAGGGGATGGGAGTAAGGAAGGAGTAAGAGGACATATTTTTTTTTTTGAGACAGAGTCTCATTCTGTCTCACAGGCTGGAATGCAGTGGTACAATCTACAACCTCTACCTCCTCTCCCCTGGCCTGGGTAGAGCCTGGCTTCCTGTCCCCTACCCTAGCTGGGGGTCCAGCCCTTCTCTTCACTCTCAGCTTATCACCTAAATCTGGTAAATAGGCCAAAGAAAGTATGGCTTTTTTTTTTTTTTTTTTTTTTCCTGGGACTAGAAGATTAGAATAGGAAATCCATATCACAACTCCTGACACCAGAGAAAAACAAGCTCCTTTGGGTAAAGATGAGAAGAGGCATTCGGTGGAGTAGCTGGGATTACAGGCGTGTACCACCACGCCTGGCTAATTTTTATATTTGTAGTAGAGATGGGGTTTCAACATGTTGGCCAGGTGAGTCTCAAACTCCTGGCCTCAAGTGATCTGCCCGCGGTGGCCTCCCAAAGTGCTGGGATTACGGGCATGAGCCACCACACCCAGCCAGGATATACCTAAAAAAAAAAAAAAAAGTTTCAAGGCCAAGCATGGTGGCTCACGCCTGTAATCCCAGCACTTTGGGAGGCCAAGGTGGGCGGATTGCCTGAGGTCAGGAGTTTGAAACCAGCCTGGCCAACATGGTGAAACCCCATCTCTACTAAAAATACAAAAACTAGCCTGGCGTGGTGGCGCATGCCTGTAATCCCAGCTACTCTGGAGGCTGACACAGGAGAATTGCTTGAACCCGGGAGGCAGAGCTTGCAGTGAGCCGAGGTCGTGCCACTGTACTCCAGCCTGGGCAACGGAGGGAGACTCTGTCTCAAAAAAAAAAAAAAAAAAAAGGTTTCAAACACAATTAATTCAAACCAACCTCCCTTAAAAGGGAAAAAAAGCCAGCATTTTCCACGGGAGACAGAGATTTGAAAAATGAAGCTGTGTTCGTGTCTCCTAACTCAGCTAGGTCAGCAGAAGGGTGGGCAATGGGGAAGCAATCAGGTGGTTTTTTTAATCCTCCTGCCTCAGCCTCCCAAAGTGCTGGGATTATAGGCATGAGCCTACTGCACTCACCTGGCTAGAGTGCGGTAGCATGATCACAGCTGACTGCAGTCTCCACCTCCTGGGCTCAAGGATCCTCCCATCTTAGCTCCCTGAGTATCTGGGACCACTGGCACATGCCACCATGCCTGGCTTAATTAAAAAAAATTTTTTTGTAGATGGGGTCTCACTATGTTACCCAGGCTGGTTTCAAACTCCTGAGCTCAAGAGATCCTCCCACCTCAGCCTCCCAAAGTGCTGATATTACAGGCGTGAGCCACCATGCCCAACCCAGAACCAGGTTTAATAACTGTAGAGGAGGCAACGGTGATAGGCAGTCTAAGCAGCAGGTGGAATGATACTGTTAAATGACATCAAGTTCATCTGAGTGTGGGTGGGAACTTAGTATAATAGATTTTAAAGGGATCACTCTGACTGCTGTGCTGATAAGTGACTATTTTATGTTGATAATATACTGAGATAAAAATGTTATGGTCACGAAATAAAAACTGATTGCTGTAAAATGTGAAAAAGGGTCCTTGGACATTAAAACCATGATAGCAAGTAACAGAGCTGGGTGTGGTGGCTCACGCCTGCAATCCCAGCACTTTGCAGGGCCGAAGCAGGCAGATCACGAGGTCAGAAGATCAAGACCATCCTGGCTAACACGGTGAAACCCTGTCTCTACTAAAAATACAAAAAAATTAGCCGGGCGTGGTGGCACGCACCTATAGTCCCAGCTATTAGGGAGACTGAGGCAGGAGAATCGCTTGAACCTGGGAGGCGGGGGTTGCAGTGAGCCAAGATCACCCCACTGCATTCCAGCTTGGGCAACAGAGCGAGAATCTGTTCCAAAAAAAAAAAGAAAAGAAAAAAATAGTAACAGAAGAGTAGAAGGCTGGGTATAGTGGCTCATGCCTGTAATCCCAGCACTTTGGGAGGCCGTGGTGGGAAGATCACTTTGAGGCCAGTAGTTTGAGACCAGCCTGATCAACATGGCAAAACCCCGTCTCCACTAAAAATACAAAAATTATCTGGGTGTGGTGGCACAGGCTTGTAATCCCAGCTACTTGGGAGGCTTAGGCAGGAGAATTGCTTAAGCCTGTGAGGCAAAGGCTGCAATGAGCTGAGATCGCCCCACTGCACTCCAGCCTGGGCAACAGAGTGAGACTCTGTCTTAAAAAAGGAAAAACAAAAACAAAAAACAGTAGTGGAAAGTATAACAGAGGGCTGCACAGTGGCTCATGCCTGTAATCCAGCACTTTGGGAGGACGAGACCTGAGGTCAGGAGTTCGAGACCAGCCTGGCCAACAGGGCAAAACCCCATCTCTAGTAAACAATACAAAAATTAGCCAGGCATGGTGGCACGTGCCTGTAATCCCAGCTACTTGGGAGGCTGAGGCAGGATAATCGCTTGAACCTGGGGGGCGGAGGTTGCAGTGGGCTATCGTGCCACTGCACTCCTCCCTGGGTGGCAGAAGACTCCATCTCAAAAAAGAAAAGAAAAGAAAAGATGACAGAGGAGTTGAAAGAAAAAAACTGAGGAAATCTTCCACAAAGGAGATCAAAAAGACAAAATATGGAAAAGAGACAAAAATATGAAAAATAGAAAAGGACTGACATCTAATGAAAAAATTCCAGAAATAGGAAACCAAGGTATGAGTGAAATAAATTATCAAATAAATTAATTTCAGAAAATTCCCTAACACTAAAGGACATGAGTTTCCAGACTGAAAGGGCCAAGAGCACCTGGCACAATGGGTAATGGGTGCTGAATAGAAATAGGCCAACAGCAGGACATGCATTGTGAAATTTCAGAACACTGAAGACAATTCTACAAGCATCGAGAGAGAAAAATGACGACAAAGGAGGAACCAAGAATCAGAAGTCACGCAGGAAGCCAGAAGGCACTACAGTCACTTCCTCCCCTCAGAGGGACAATGGGCAGGAAGAGGACAGGGCAGCAGCCTCCTTTATGGAGAGAGTTCTTTCAGATGAAACGGATGGGAGACTAGGGGATATATACAAATGGGGTCAGTTTGGGCTTAACTAGAGACAGATACATAGAAAATCATGCAAATAAACATGATTATTAACTCCAATGAGAAACTAAAAGTTGTGTCAGAAGGAAAAGAAGTCATACTAAGTGTTCTGGTTCAGCTATGAATAGCGTTTGTGTATCCTTAGCAATATCAATATTAATATTGATCCAACCAAAATGACACAATTATATGGACAAATGGAGGGACTGAAAGCACGTGTCTGCGATGAAGGATGACCAAAGAGCAGCCCAATCTGCACCACTAGATATAGTCAATTGATAAGGCCTAATACTGAACAATTGTGAAATGGTAATAAAAATATTTCACATGGAAATGAAAGTTAATACTAAAATATTCATCTGGAAGAACTGAAGGTGGTTGTCTCTTGGAGAGAAAGGAAAGAGGGGTTGCCAAGAACTACTGATTTTCATGATAAGCCTTGTTGAATTTTTTTTTAGGCAGGGTCTCGCTGTCACCCAGGCTGAAGTGCAGTGGCGAGATCATGGCTCACTGCCGCCTTGAACTCGTGGACTCAAGCGAACCTCCCACTTCAGCCTCCCAAGTAGCTGGGACTACAGGTATGGGTCACAGAGCCCAGCTAATTTTTTTATTCTTTGTAAGGATTTTTGTTGTTGTTGTTATTTTGTTACTGTTTTACTGTTTTTTGTTTTTTTGAGATGGAGCTTCGCCCTTGTTGCCCAGGCTGGAGTGCAATGGGCTCACGGCAACCTCTGCCTCCCCGGTTCAAGTGATTCTCCTGCCTTGGCCTTCCAAGTAGCTGGGATTACAGGTATGCATCACTACACCTGGCTAATTTTTGTATTTTTAGTAGAGATGGGGTTTCACCACGTTGGTCAGACTGGTCTTGAACTCCTGACCTCAGGTGATCCACCCACCTCGGCCTCCAAAAGTGCTGGGATTACAGGTGTGAGCCACCGCACCCAGCTGGTATTGCTATTTTTGTTGTTTTTTTTCTCCCAAATATCTTTGATCTGCAGTTGGTTGAATCTACAGATGTGGAACCCAAGGATATGATGGGCTGACTGTACTCATTTATTAATATTACTTATTATATTTGTTCAGTTATTTCAAATATGGATCTATTTCTACATAAGTATATTGCAAACTTCTGGAGGATGGGCATGGTGGACGATTCCTTTTTGATACCTACCAAAGCTATGTCCGTAGTAGATGCCCCCAAAATAATTCATGGATAAACATAAAGGTCAAATTCAAGGTGACTTGATATGCAAAGTTAAGTCAAAGTCTGGAGATAAAAACCAAGGTTAGATTAAAGCTGACACTGTAAATAGTTAAGACATTTGGAGAACCTAAGTACATCAAGACAGAGCTGCATTCAAAGTTCTGTGGTCTACTTTTTTGGTTAATGTTTATTTGTTTTAATGAAGAGATACTTTTGTTCCCAAAGTACTCTCAAGTTTCAAGTTTTGGTGACCTGGGACTTGGTATATAAACGTGAGCTTACTCTGCCAACACCCTATGTGACTTTCGAGACTTTGTGCCTGCCTCCTTTGTTTTCCTAGATTGCAAAGTCGTAATCTCCACACACTGAGATACTGAACTTCTTTTATTGCTGGTCTGATACGATTGACAAGAGAGAGATTAGTTTCTTGTCCCTTGCTGGAGGTGGGGAGATGAAAACACCAGGGAGAAAAATATAGTGGAAGATCATCTTGAGTCGATGTTCAGAATGAGGAGTCCTCGATCCTGGGCCAGCATCAGTCCATGGCGCTTTTGGTCTCACTGTGGTTTCACTCCCCATTAAATGGGGAAAATACTTGGCATTTTCTGACATTCCGGGTTCTACATATGCATATCAGTAAATGTAATACACACGTTAAGAGAAAGGCAGGCCAGGCACGGTGGCTCACGCCTGTAATCCCTGCACTTTGGGAGGCCGACGCAGGCGGATCACCTGAGGTCGGGAGTTCATGACCAGCCTGACCAACATGGAGAAACCCTGTCTCTATTAAAAATACAAAATTAGCCCAGGTGGTGGCACATGCCTGTAATCCCAGCTACTTGGGAGGTTGAGGCAGGAGAATCGCTTGAACCCGGAGGCAGAGGTTGCAGTGAGCTGAGATCGCACCATTGTACTCCAGCCTGGGCAACAAGAGCAAAACTCCGTCTCAAAAAAAAAAAAAAAAAGAGAGAGAGAGAGAATGAAAGGCAAAAATCACATGATCATCTCAATAGATGCAGAAAAGCATTTGAGAAAATCTGACATCCTTTCATGGTAAAAACTCTCAACAAGTTAGGTATAGAAGGAATGTACTTTGATGTACCTTGGAATTTACCTTGCATGACAAATTCGCAGTGAACATACTGAAAGCTCTTCCACTAACACCAGGAACAAGACAAGGATCCCCACTCTCACCACTTATATTTGACATAGTAATGGAAATCCTAGCCAGAGCATTAGGTGAGAAAAAGAAATGACAGGCCTCCAAATTGGAAATGAAGAAGTAAAACTGTCTCTATTTACAGATGGCTGATCTTATATATAGAAAACCCTAAAGACACCACCAAAAACCTGTTAGAACTAAATAAAGTTGTAGGATACAAACGTTAACATATAAAAATCAGTAGTGTTTCTATACATTAACGAAGAACTATTCAAAGAAAAAAAAGAATAAGAAAACCTCCATTTTATTTCCTATTTTATTTTAATTTTGTTATTTTGTAGAGAGAGGGTCTATGTCGCCCAGGCTGGAGTGCAGTGGTGCAATTTTGGCTCACTGCAACCTCCACCTCCTGGGCTCAAGCTATCCTCCCATCTCAGCCTCCTGAGTAACTGGGACTACAGGCACATGCCACCATACCTGGCTAATTTTTTTGTAGAGATGGGGTTTTGCCATGTTGCCCAGGCTGGTCTTGAACTCCTGGGCTCACGCAATCTGCCTGCCTCAGCCTCCCAACGTGCTGGGGTTACAGGCATGAGCCACTGCGCCTGATTTATTTATTTATTTAGAGATGGAGTCTTGCTCTGTCGCCCAGGCTGGAGTGCAGTGGCACCATCTCGGCTCACTGCAACCTCCACCTCCCGGGTTCAAGTGATTCTCATGCCTCAGCCACCCGACTAGCTGGGATTACAGGAGTACACCACCATGCCTGGCTGATTTTTGTATTTTTAGTAGAGACACAGGGTTTGCCATGTTGGCCAGGCTGGTCTTCAGCTCCTGGCTTCAAGTGATGTGACTGCCTTGGCCTCCCAAAGTGCTGGGATTACAGGCATGTGACACTGCACCCAGCCTAAAAGGTCCCATTTATCAAAGCTATATAAAATGTAAAATACTTAGAAATAACTCTGATATCCCAAAACAGGGGAAACTTGGAGCGATCAACAAATCCGATCAGTGAGCTTTTTTTTTCCCCTTTTTCCTTTGTGAGATGGAGTCTCGCTCTGTCGCCCAGGCTGGAGTGCAGTGGCACAATCTTGGCTTGGCTCACTGCAACCTCTGCCTCCCGGGTTCAAGCGATTCTCCTGCCTCAGCCTCCTGAGTAGCTGGGATTACAGGCACGTGCCACCATACCTGGCTAATTTTTGTATTTTTAGTTGAGACGGCGTTTCACCATGGTGCTCAGGCTGGTCTCGAACTTTTGACCTCATGATCCGCCTGCCTCGGCCTCCCAAAGTGCTGGGATTACAGGCGTGAGCCACCGTACCTGGCCTTTTTAAGTGACAAGGTCTCACTCTGTTGCCCAGGCTGGAGTCCAGTGGACCATCACAGGTCACTGTAGCTTCAAACCCTGGGCTCAACTGATCCCATCTCAGCTTCCTGAGTAGCCAGGATTACAGACACACACCACCACACCTGGCTAATTTTTAAAAAAAAATTTTTGGCCAGGCATGGTGGCTCACGCCTGTAATCCCAGTACTTTGGGAGGCTGAGGCGGGAGGATCACGAGGTCAGCAGTTTGAGACCAGCCTGGACAACATGGTAAAACCCCATCTCTACTAAAAATACAAAAATTAGTCAGGCGTGGTGGCACGTGCCTGTAATCCCAACTACTCAGAAGGCTGAGGTAGGAGAATAGCTTGAACATGTGAGGCAGAGGTTGCAGTGAGCTGAGATCCCGCCACGGCACTCCAGCCTGGGACAGAGCTAGACTCCATCTCAAAAAAAAAAAAAAAAAAAAAAAATTTGTACATCTGCTGCCCAGGCTGGTCTCGAACTCTTGGCCTCAAGGGATCCTCCCACCTTGGCCTCCTAAGTAGTTAGGACTACAGTTGCTCGCCACCATGCCCAGTGCCATCAGTAAGCTAAGGCTTACACTTTTCTGATCACAGCTACAGGGACAGCTGGTCTTACTGCCCAGGTTCCTCATGGTCACCTCCTATTTCCTAATGTAAGTCATCTCCTCACAACTACGGGCAAAGGGGCACTGCTTTTCTTCAACTCTACCAGGCCACAGACCCTCCCAGGATGTGCTGGTGATTTTGCTGCTGCCATTAGTTCAGCTGTGGGGCAAAAGCAGCGCGGTGGATGGTGGTCTCAGGGCAAACTCTGTAGACATTAATTCTAGAGAAAACCCTCTGGAAGGATTAGCATCTTAGCCAAGAAACTTTAACCCTCAGGTTGGAGCATTTTCTAGTTGGCTCTTCTTGTGTTAGTGAGAGGAATGAAAGAACGGAGGCATTAGAGACCCACGGATGGAGGCAAGCCAGCACCTCCAGTGTTCGGAGTAAACTCCTGAGGCACCAGGCCTGCCTCCCACAGAAATCGAAAGAAAACCTATCCTGCCTCTCACTGGGTCATAAATTACACATCGTCCCCTTCCCTGAGCCTTCAGGGAACCGAAGCATGTTCCACTCCTGCCACCGACCTTCCTCATCTTTGGGACTCCTGTCTCGATTTCTCACTGATCACAAAAAATGATCTTCACAAAGTCTTCCTGCATTGTTTCTCTGCCATTTCTATGAAGCTTCTGCAGACTTTGGGAGTTACTGTCTTAGCTAGAGAATAATAGTGGATCAAAGAGGACAGACTATACCCTCTAAGTGCCCCCACACCCAGGGCCACCCATTGGCACTGCCTGAGGAGGTCCAGTCTCAAGGTGAGGAGATGGACTAGGAGGGAAACTGGGCCCCCATCAGTCAGCGCTTCTCAGACACTGACATGCAACTAACAGGTAGGGTTCTTGACATACAGGGCTCTTGCTACAATGCAGATACCGATTTAGGAGAGGAGCCCAAGATTCTGCATTTCAAATTTCCCAAGTGATGTTGATGCTGCCGGTCCACAGACCAGACTGCATTTGCATAGCAAGGAGCAAGACTGAGGGGAGGTGAAAAAATAGAGGAAAAACAAGCTCCATGAGAGGCGATCTGATGATGCTCCAGATCTAAAACCTCTTGTCTTCAAGGACTTCCCTGCAGGGCCTTTCACTTTTTCCAGAGGATTGGAGCACACAGCCTTCCAGGCCCAGCCACATGCTGGTAAAGGGCCAGGGGCCTGAGACCTCCTCACACCCTCCGTCAGCAGCTGTCAGGGAGAGGAGCCCTGCCTGGGCTGGCAATCAACCCTCGCTCCTGCCGCTGGCTCTGGGGTGGTTCTGCCATGGAACAGCAGGTTCAAGATGGCAACAGGGTAACAGATGGTCTCTCTTCCCTCCACCTCTGCCTCATCCCAGGCTCTGCTCCCTGAAGCCAAAGCAGTGATCCTCTTTACTTTCTCAAACAGCAGCTTACTTTGTGCCAGGCTGTGTGAACCACCATCTGGAACTGTTTTTATTTAATCCTCACAATCACCTTGTGAGGTAGGAATTGTTCTATCCCCACTTTAGAAGGAAACTGAGGCCCCATCACTGAACTACATACCTGTGAGGCCAGGAGCCTATGGGACTGAATCTAGGAGAGAAGCCTCAGGATAGGAACTTAATGAAAAATCAAGGCAACTAAGGTGCATTGATTGGTATAGGACCCTTCAAAGGTAAGCAGAAAGCCAGTGCTGTTACTGTCCTTCTACCAGGTTCCCTTACCATACACCAGTGGCAGGAGGTTCTCCTGTGCCAGCTGGTACAGGTAGGTCATGAACTGGGCTCCTTGGCCTGGGCAGAGGGTGCCAGGCAGAGGCATGACTGACCAGGCAGCACCAACTGTGTGAAGAGCAGCTGGCCTGCTAGGCAGCTGGTGGAAGGCCATTTAGGAGTCTGACGTAAATGTAGGTAGGTACTTGCCTACCTATCCATACCTCAAAGGAACATGGTGTCCTGGGATGGAAATGCACACGATTCCAGCTCTTCATTTGATAAACCTAAGTGCCCACAAGCACTGTGCTAGGCTTTGTGGGAGGGTTTAAAACACAGTCTTTGCCCTTAGTGAGGAAAATTAGCATGCTGGATATAAAAGAGTGGTGGAAACTTTAGTGAACTGGAGAATGCTACTCAGCTAAAACTTGTACTACCTTACTTTAGTTGGCTGGAGCCTCTCTGCAATGAAGGACTACCTGATTTTTCAAGTCCCAAATCAAGATCATGTGAACATTTCCCTTTTTAGAAACGAAAAGAACTTGGGGATAGGTGGTCAGAAAATAAAATGGAACAATTCAAAAAATAAATCCTCAAACGCAGGCCAACATGTGGCTGCTAGTTTGCAACCTGTGCTCCTCATTACCCCAGTCCTATATTTTCCTGTTGTACCTCCAGCACCTCACAATTCCTGGCAGAACAGAAGTGCCTCTGGTATGACCACGTGAAGCTCAACCAAGAGACCCACCAGAGTGGCAACGGATCTGAAATTTCCATCATATGCAGAACAGCTGAAGCAACTGGAGAGGGTTTTTAGCCTTGGAAATGACTAACAGGAGGCATAAGAGTTGTTGCAAATAAGAACATCCTTTAAAAAAGTTAGGATATATAGTCTGGTCAACACTTTGGAGTGGGGAGGAGGTTACTTTCAGGTAAAATATACATCTGACAACTGACCACGGTTCCCCAACTACTTCTACTGTCCATACCCACCTCCCCCATTTCTTCACTGGCCCAGTACCTAAAAGCATTTGGCTGTCATATCTGGTAAAGGGAATTCAGGCTTTGCCTTATAATTTTTTTTTGTTTTATTATTTTTTTGAGACGGAGTCTCACTCTGTCACCATCTGGAGTGCAGTGGTGTGATCTAGGCTCATTGCAACCTCCACCTCCCGGGTTCAAGTGATTCTCCTGCCTCAGCCTCCTGAGTAGCTGGGATATAGGTGCCCGCCACCACACCCAGCTAATTTTTGTATTTTTAGGCCAGGCTGATCTTGAACTCCTGACCTCAAGTGATCCACCCACCTCGGCCTCCCAAGTGCTGGGATTACAGGCGTGAGCCACCGTACCAGGCCCAGGCTTTAATCCCAAATATCTCACCTACTTCCTACCTAAGAATCTTATCTAACTCAGGATTTTTTTTTTTTTTTTTTTTTTTTTTGAGACGGAGTCTGGCTTTGTTGCCCAGGCTGGAGTGCAGTGGTGCGATCTTGGCTCACCGCAACCTTAGCCTGCCGGGTTCAAGCAATTCTCCTGCCTTAGCCTCCCAAGTAGCTGGGATTACAGGCATGTGTCACCACGCCCAACTAATTTTGTATTTTTAGTAGAGATGGGGTTTCTCCATGTTGGTCAGGACGGTCAAACTCCCAAACTCAGGTGATCCGCCCGCCTCGGGCTCCCAAAGTGCGGGGATTACAGGCATGAGCCACTGTGCCCGGCTAACTCAGGATTTTTCTAAGGATTAAAATGAGATATGTAATGAAAGTATTTGGCAGAATATCTGGCAAAGGGGTCAAGAAATGTTCAACATTATTATGGAGGTTTAGATCTTTTCTCCCGTCCGAGTACTAACCAGGCCTGACCCGGATTAGCTTCCAAGATCAGATGAGGTCGGGAGCATTCAGGGTAGTATGGCCGTAGAGGTTTAGGTCTTTTCTATAAAACACCAAATAATACAACTATGGTCAAAACACAGAAGTTGCAGGGAGTCTGATTTTGGCTTCATAAATGATACTTCTGTAACAATGCCAGCTGGAATGAGATTACAAGTGTGAATGTTCAAACAGAGCAGCAAAGGTCATTCCTCAGGGGACTCTGGAGGAGATTCCTACCCCAGGTAGGAAGTTGGTTGATTTCTGCTCTGATCCTATGACTACTAAATGCATAGTATGAAAAACTACACTTATAATGTGCATTAACAAGAATATGACTGATCTCCATGGATATGGAAAGATATACAAAATAGAATTGGGGGGGGGAAATTATAGAACCATACAATGGGAGCCCAAGTTTTAAAAACCAGATATATATTTATGTGCTTAGAGCATTTCAGGAAGGGTATATTAAGAAATTTATTTGGAAAATCTTGAGAGGTAAGCTGGAGTGAATGTACACTCTCCACTCCATGCCCAAATGTTTACTTTTCACTTTATACCCTTCTGTTTATTTTTTTGACCAGCAGCATCAACTTTTTAAAAAAGGACCAAATAGGCCAGGCTCAGTAGCTCATGCCTATAATCCCAACACTTTGGGAGGCAAAGGTGGGAAGATCACTTGAGCCCAGGAATTCAAGGCTGCAGTGAGAAATGACTGTGCCACTGCACTCCAGCCTGGGCAGTAGAGCAAGACTCTGTCTCAAAATAAATAAATAAATAAATAAATAAATAAATAAATAAATAAATCAATCAATCAATAATAAATAAAAAAACCAAATCATTTGGTTGGCCAAAACCTTCTGATCTGAGCTTTGCTCGGCAACCACTCTCCAAGATAAAGCTTTATGTATCACCTCACATATTCACTGTCAAGGCTCAGGCACTCTAGATTACTGGACTCCCCAGTCAACATTCCCATTACCAAAAGTCCCTAATCTTGGAGGCTGCTTCAGGTCACCCTCTCTTTGTCCCTCACTTCCTGAGTTTTTTTTTTTTCCTCCAACTATACTCACTCTACTGGTGATCTCAAACAGCCCTCTAGCTTTTAAGATACTGTCCAAATGCTGACTCCCAAATTTCTATTTCCATCCAAGACCCACTCTTAAACTCTAGACACACACATGCATCGCAACTGCCTCCTCAACAGCTCCACTTGGATATTGAGTAGACATCTAAAACTTGCTCTTCCCACAGCCTTGCAACTCAGCTGATGGCATGTCCAGGCTTCCAGTTGCCCAAGTCCATAACCTCAGAGTTAGGGAAAGTTGAGTGTGACCCACAATGCCAGCTACCTAGAAACTAAGGTAGATCTAGGTACTGGGATTAAAGATATCATAAAATCATTAAAATGTTTTCTGAAATGTTTGAAGTTAACTCATTTTATTTCTAGGATTTGGATTTCAACATTTTAATTTCTTTGGAATATAAGTCACTTTTTGCAAGCTAAAAAATAGAATCAAACTAAGGTGATCTAGTCCTCTAGGCATCCAGGCTGATCCTTGGAATCATGAGCAGAATGATGACATACTACAAGGTGCTAGCAATACGGCTATAAACTCTAAATAATAACCACTACATGTTTCATTAGGAAACAGCCAAAAGTCCGGCCGTTAAAGGAATAATCTGCAGAACATCTTGATTTACAAGGGACAAAATGATGCAAATTATATGCTGTCCAACCTACTGGTGAACTGGATCAGAATGGTCCAAGGACTGTTAAACAGAGGAAGTATTTACATTTTGAAAACTTGCTCTGCAGGATAAAAAAATTCCTGGTTGCTGTCAGTAAGAAAGCAAGTAAAAAAAATATTACAGATGAACTCACTGATCTTTGATTTTACTAAGGTCTTCCACTGGAACATGAAGGTAGGGATAAGTGTACAGGATAATATACTCAGATATTTTTAAAATAAATTACTTAATAATAAGAAATTAGCCATACCACATTGTTCCATTTGCTACAAGAACAAATTGGCAATGAAGACTATTTAAAAGAAATGCTCAGCTCTACAGAGGGTGGTGGCAGGCAACACTTTTCCATTACAGAATAACCTCTATTCTTCCATGATACATATTCCTGTGGAAAAACTTGTCAGGGCCCAGGGATGAAAAATAGAGCTTGTCCTAATTAGCTAACTGTAGGTTCACTTAACATCTTTGGGAAGGACCCAAAAAATCTGGCCATTATTTTCTTAAACATCTGCAAGCTGCAGAATTCCTTAGTCCTCAGCTATAGTTTCTGCTAGATATCTTAAAGCTGGGACAGTTCCACTGTGACTCCTCCTCAGCTATGGGGTGGGTGCTAGTCATCAAAGTCTGGAATGTCATCATAGGAGTAACCACGGTAGCCTTTGGATGCATAGTAAGCGATGCGCAGGTGGTAAAATCCGGGTAGGAACACCAGAATGCCAATGATCAGCACTGGAACGGCCCGGTCTGCCCCCTGGTGGCAGAAGGAGGCAAACACATTAGTACCGTAAGAGTTACACATTTTAAAATAAAACGTCACAGACCTAATCCTTAGATCAGTATTTTATACTCTTCAGTACTTTTTCTTTGAGTTGTATACCACCAAGGGAAAAGGTTTCCTCCTGATTATAAATTGAAGACAAACTACAAAATATTAACAATTATAAAGAAAAAAATGACCCATTCTCATCCAGATATTTTGGCTTCTTTTCCTTTTTTTAAAGCTCTTAGTTGTGAACACACCATACTCTGTGTCCTGTGGCCAATATTATTAAAACCTTTTCATACATTTAAACTGTAAGGATGTGTAACATTCCACCGAAATGGACATACTACAGTTTTACCTAACTGCCCCACATACAGCTGCTGGACACTTTGGTTGTTTTTCACCTTTTGTAATTGTACAGATACCACTACAATAAACTCTGTGTTTTTCTCAGCCTTTCAGGTTTTCTTTTCTTTCTCTTTTTTCTTTTTTTTTGAGGTAAGAGTCTTGCTCTGTTGCTCGGGCTGGAGTACAGTGGTGTGATTACAGCTCACTGCAACCTCGACTTCCCAGGCTCAAGTGATCCTCCCACCTCAGCCTCCAAGTAGCTGGAGTTACAGGTGTCAGTCACCATACCTGGCTCATTTTGTACATTTGTTTGTTTGGTAGAGATGAGGTCTCGCTATGTTGCCCAGGCTGGTCTCGAACTCTGGGGCTCAAGCAATCCTCCTGCCTCAGCCTCCCAAAATGCTAGAATTATAGGCTTGAGCCACTGCACCTGGCTGGCTGTGTTCCCTGTTGTGTGTTAATTATAGTCAGAATTGGTTCAAGACAACTTGGACACTGTGTATGTGGGGACAGCCCATGAGAAAGAACCACCAACTACTTTAGGTTTCTAAGGTTTCATATTGAAGCTCAACAGGAACTCCAACCAAACCTACTGTAAGAAGGAACTGACTTACGAGGCACAGTGACCCCACACATATAACAGAATTGCTATTTCTCTCCAAATACTGACAGTATGTCCATGGCACTGCACAGCTACAATGACAGCATGCTGCTCCAGCTACAGCCCTTTACCAATCAGGACTCCTGTATGCCAGGCTCAGCCATGTTGTTCCAAACTATGACAGGGCAAACTGTCTAATATCTCAGAGGCCAAGTTTGCCTACCTGCCACCACCTCCCCTATAGGAACTATGGAAGTTTACTGTTGCTCAAAGGAAGAAAAACATGTTTTGCCAACAGAGAACAAAATGTAAAAGAAAATCTTTTTGGTTTTTCTGCTGGAATCTGCTGTACCAGACATGAATATAAAAACAAAGATTGAACAATGAAAAAAATCTAAAACCTGAATAGACAAAGAGTAATGAGATTAAGGCCATAATAAAAAGTCTCTTAGCAGAGAGAAGCCTGGGACTAGATGGTTTCGCTGCTGAATTATACCAGTTAAAGAATTAATACTTGGCTGGGCATGGTGGTTCACTCCTGTAATCCCAGCACTTTGGGAGGCCAAGGCAGGCAGATCGCTTGAGCTCAGGATTTCAAGACCAGCCTGGTCAACATGGTAAAATCCTGTCTTGACAAAAAATACAAAAATTAGATGGGCATGGTGGTATATGCCTGTGGTCCCAGTTGCTAGTGAGGCTGAGGTGGCAGGATCACATAAGCCGGGGAGGCAAAGGTTGCAGTGAGCTGAGATCGCACCACTGCACTACACCTGCATGACAGATGAGACCCTGTCTCAAAAAAAAAAAAAAAAAAAAAGAATACTAATCCTACTGAAACTATTCTGAACAGACATGGAGAGAATACTTCCAAACTGATTCTACTAGGCCAGTTTTACCCTGATACCAAAACTAGGCAAAGACACATCGAAAAAACAAAAATAGGCCAATATCCCTGATGAACATTGATGCAAAAATCCTCAATAAGGAGGATAATACTAGCAAACTGAATTCAACAATACATTAAAAAGATCATTCATCAGGACCAAGTGGGATTTATCCCAGAGAGGCAAGGATGGTTCAACTTATACAAACCAATCAATGTGATAAAATCGTATCAGCAGAATGAAGGACAAAAACCATATGATTATTTCAATCGATGCTAGAAAAGCATTTGATAAAATTCTACATCCACCGGGTGTGGTGGCTCACGCCTGTAATCCCAGTACTTTGGGAGGCTAGGGTGGGCCTCACACTGACCATAATTAACACACAACGGGAAACATAGTCAGAGGGGTGCAGTGGCTAAAGCCTGTAATTCCAGCACTTTGGGAGGCTGAGGCAGGAGGATTGCTTGAGCCTAGGAGTTTAAGACCAGCCTGGGCAACATAATGAGATCTCATCTCTACCAAACAAACAAAAAAATTAGCTAGGTATGGTGACTCACACCTGTAACTCCAGCTACTTGGGAAGCTGAGGTGGGAGGATCGACTGAGCCCTGAAGATTGAGGTTGCAGAGAGCTGTGATCACACCACTGTACTCCTGGACTGCTTGAGTCTAGGAGTTCGAGATCAGCCTGGGCAACACGGCAAAACCTCATCTATACAAAAAATGAAAAAAAAATTAACCAAGTGTGGTGGCACATGCCTGTGGTCCCAGTTATTTGGGAGGCTGAGGTTGCAGTGAGCCGAGATGGTGCCACTGCACTCCAGCCTGGATGACACAGTGAGATTCTGTCTCAAAAAAAAAAAAACAAACAAAAAAACCAAAAAACAAAAAAACATACACTGGGGAAAGAACCAGTCTTTTCAATAAATGGTATTAGGAAAACTGGATATCCATATGCTGAAGAATGAAACTAGACCCCTCAAATCTCTTGACATATACAAAAATCAAATGAGAATGGATTAAACACTTAAATGTAAGACCTAAAACTATGAAACTACTATAAGAAAACATGGGGGAAACTCTCCAGGATGCTGGACTGGGCAAAGATTTCTTGAGTAATGCCCCCAAAAGCACAAGCAACCAAAACAAAAACAGATAAATGAGATCACATCCGGTTAAAAAGCTTCTGTACAGCAAAGGAAGAGACAACCCACAGAATGGGAAAAAATATATGCAAAGTATCCATCTGACAAGGAATTAATAACCAGAATATATAAGGAGCTCAAACTCTGTAGGAAAAAAAATCTAATAATCCAATCAAAAATGGGCATTTCTCAAAAGAAGACATACAAATGGCAAATAGGTATATGAAAAGGTGCTTAACATCATTGATCAAAGAAATGCAAATCAAGACTACAATGAGATATCATCTCATCCTAGTTAAAATGGCTTTTTAAAAAATATAGACACAAGGTCTCGCTATGTTGCGCAGGCTGGTCTCGAACTCCTGGGCTCAAGTGATCCTCCTGCCTCGGCCTCCAAAAGTGCTGGGACTACAGGCGTGAGCCACTGCACCCAGCCAAAATGGCTTTTATCCAAAAAAAACGGCAATAACGAATGCTAGCGAGGACGTGGAGAAAAGGGAACCCTCGTACAATGTTGATGGGAATGTAAATTAGTATAGCCACTATGGAGAACAGTATGAAATAGAACTACCATATGATCCAGCAATCACAGCTAGGTATATACCCAAAAGAAAGGAAATCAGTTTATCAAAGAGGTATCTGCACTTCCATATTTATGACAGCACTATTCACAACAGCCAAGATCTGGAAGCAACCAAAGTGTTCTTCAACAGACAAGTGAATAAAGAAAATATGGTACATATATGCAATGGAGTACTATTCAGCCACTAAAAAGAATGAGATCCTGTCACTTGCAACAACATGGATGAAACTGGAGAACGTTATGTTAAGTGAAATTAAGCCAGGCACAGAAAGACACACTTTCCATGTTCTCACTCATTTGCGGGAACTAAAAATTAAAACAATTGAACTCATGGATATTGTAGAATGATGGTTACCAAAGGCTGGGAAAGGTAGGGGGGAATGGGGAAGGTTAACGGGTACAAAATATAGTTACATAGAATGAATAAGCTCTAGTATTTGATAGCACAAAGTGACTAGAGAATAATTTATTGTACATTTAAAAATATAATAACTAAGGCTGGACGTGGTAGCTCACGCCTGTAATCCCAGCACTTTAGGAGGCCCACGCGGGCAGGCCGCTTGAGGTCAGGAGTTCATGACCAGCCTGGCCAACATGGCAAAAACCCATCTCTACTAAAAATACAAAAATAAGCCAAGTGTGCTGGCTTGCCACCATAGTCCCAGCTAACTCAGGAGGCTGAGGCAGGAGAATCACTTGAACCCACGAGCCGGAGTTTGCAGTGAGCTGAGATCCTGCCACTGCACTCCAGCCTGGGTGACAGAACAAGACTCTGTCTCCAAAATATATATATATGTATGTATGTATGTATGTGTATATGTATATATATAACTAAAAATAGGCCAGGCACAGTGGTTCATGCCTGTAATCCCAACACTTTGGGAGGCCAGCCTGGGCAACATGGCGAAACCCCATCTCTACTAAAAATACCAACATTAGCCGGGTGCGGTGGCGCACGTCTGTAATTCCAGCTACTCGGGAGGCTGAGGCACAAGAATAGCATGAACCTGGGAGGCGGAGGTTGCAGTTAGCCGATATTATGCCACTGCACTCCAGCCTGACTCTGTCTCAAAATAAATAAATAAATAAAAGTATAATTGGAATGTAATACAAATGATGAATGCTTGAGGGGATGGATACCCCATTTAGCCTGATGTGATTATTATGAATGCATGGCTGTATCAAAATACCTCATGTATCCCCTAAGTATATACACCTACTATGTACCCATAAAAATTGGAAAAAAAATTGGCCAGGGGCAATGGTTCACACCTGCAATCCCAGCACTTTGGAAGGCTGAGGCAGGCAGACTGCTTGACCTCAGGAGTTAGAGATCAGCCTGGGCAACATAGTGAAACCCTGTCTCTACACAAAATAAAACAAACAAAAATAAGTAAATAAAAAATAAAATTAGCTGGGTGTGGTGGCACACACGTGTAGTCCCAGCTACTCGGGAGGCTGAGGTGAGAGGATCGCTTGAGCCCAGGGAGGTAAAGGTTGTGCCACTGCACTCTAGCTTGGATGACAGAGCAAGACCCTGTCTCAAAAAAAACAGACCACTGGGACGGACAAACACACACACACACACACACACACACACACACACACACACACGCACACTAGAGCCTTGGCTAACATTTTAAAAATCTCACAACTTATTCCCACATGCCCGTCAGCTTACCCCTTTGCTGATGTAGCCTGACAGCAGGAGGGAGCCTATAATAATGAGAAAGGCGCCAATCAAAAACAGCACAGTGGCAAGTGCGATGGCCTTATAAGGGATCTTAGGAGGGGTTTTCTTAAACTGGAAGAGAAATAGAGATGAAAAAGACAACGAAGAACATTAATGCAAATACCTGGGTTCAAACATTTAATTAATTATTTGTAATTTTTATGTTTTTGTTTGTTTGTTTTGAGATGGAGTTTCGTTCTTGTTGCCCAGGCTAGAGAGCAATGGCGTGATCTTGGCTCACTGCAACCTCTGCCTCCTGGATTCAAGTGATTCTCCTGTCTCAGCCTCCTGAGCAGCTGGGGTTACAGGTGCCCGCCACTACACCCAGCTAATTTTTTTGGTATTTTTAGTAGAGACAGGGTTTCACCTTGTTGACCTGGCTGGGCTTGAACTCCTGACCTCAGGTGATCCGCCCGCCTCGGCCTCCCAAAGTGCTGGCATTACAGGCGTGAGCCACCGCGCCCGGCCTAATTTTTATGATTTTAGAGACGGAGTCTTGCTCTATCACCCAGGCTGGAGTGCAGTGGTGCAATTACAGCTCATTGCAGCCTCGAACTCCTGGGCTCAAGCAATTCTCTTGCCTCATCCTCTCAAGTAGCTGGGACTACAAGTATACGTCACCATGCCCAGCTAATTTTTAAATTTTTCTGTAGAGACGAGGTCTCACTATGTTGCCCAGGGTGGTCTCCAACTCCTGGGCTCAAGGGAGTCCTTCCACCTCTGCCTCCCAAAGTGCTGGGATTACAGGTATAAGCCATCAAGCCCAGTCTCAAACACTTTAAAACAGGGAGGAGAGCTCGCACCTGTAATCCCAGCAATGTGGGAGGCTGAGGCAGGCGGATCACTTGAGTTCAGGAGTTTGAGACCAGCCTGAGCAACATGGTGAAACCTCGTCTCTACAAAAAATACAAAAATTAGCCGGGCGTGGTGGCATGTGCCTGCAGTCCCGGCTACTTGGGACGCTAAGCTGGGAGGATGGCTTGAGCCCAGGAGGTGAAGAGGCAGCGAGCTGAGATTGCACCACTGCACTCCAGCCTGGGTGACAGAGCCAGAGCCTGTTTCAAATACAACAACAGCAAAAACAGGAGGGTAATTAAGAACCAAACTAGATACTTTATGTGTCTTAAGTATGTCCTACCACCCAGTGCAGCTCTGAGAAATAAAAGGGACTGGCAAGAGATGAAGCTCTAGTTATTGCTCTCACAGTTACTCAAAGGAATCTCAGAGGAATGTCATTCACTCTAGTTCGAATCTCATTCCATAAATCATTCATTGTATCATAAGAAACTTTTCTTTAAAACAAAAACAGAAATGACTTTACAGTCATTCATTTGTTAGATATATATTTATTAACTGCCTGGCACATAGATGGCTGTACTAACTTATGGGGATTTAAGAGATCCTGTCTCTACAAAAAATTTTAAAATTAGCTGGGTGTGGTGGCACATGCTTGTGGTCCCAGCTATTCAGGAGGCTGAGGTGAAAAGACTACTTGAGCCCAGAAGGTCAAGGTTACAGTGAGTCTTGATTGTGCCACTGTACCCAAGCCTGGGCAAAAGAGCAAGACCCTGTCTCAAAAAAAAAAAAAAAAGGCTGGGCGCGGTGACTCACGCCTGTAATTCCAGCGCTTTGGGAGGCCGAAGTGGGTGAATCACTGGAGGTTAAGAGTTCGAGACCAGCCTGGCCAACATGGCGAAACCCCATCTATACTAAAAATACGAAAATTGGCCAGGCATGGTGGTGCATGCCTGTAATCCCCCAGCTACTAGGGAGGCTGAGGTACAAGAATCACTTGAACCAGGAGGGGGAGGTTGCAGTGAGCCAGGATTGCACCACTGCAGTCCAGCCTGGGCAACAGAGCAAGACTACATCTTAAAAACAAAACAAAACAAAACAAGAGGCTGGGCAAGGTGGCTCACGCCTATAATCCCAGCACTTTGCGAGGCCGAGGCAGGATGATCACCTGAGGTCAGGAGTTCAAGACCAGCCTGACCAACATGGAGAAACACTGTCTCTACTAAAAATACAAAATTAGCTGGGCGTGGTGGCGCATGCCCGTAATCCCAGCTACTTGGGAGGCTGAGGCAGGAGAATCGCTTGAACCTGGGAGGCAGAGGTTGCAGTGAGCCGAGGTTGTGCCACTGCACTCCAGCCTGGGAAACAAGACTAAAACTCCGTCTCCAAAAAAAAAAAAAAAAAAGGAAAAGAAGGCAATTTCAGCTTATTCCAAATGATTAGTTGTTTGTTCCACATAGCAAGTAAACCTGCCTTATGAACAAATTCAATTCAAGGTTAAGATTCAGAGACAAATTTTCCAAGGTTTGGCTCATCGTTGTATCTGACCTAAGTGGCTGGAAGCTTCCCAGATCTTTCCAGATCTATTTTTATCTCTCCTTCAAATGTGGGTCCAAAGAGTAATTTATTTATTTATAAAGGATGGTTTCCTGCTACTTCCTCGTTGGCCCTAGTTCCACGTAGAACATTCTATTGTAAGGGGAAGTGTGCAAAAGGAGATGCTGTAGTATTGACTAGTTTATAAATGGTTAGGGTAGGATACAAACTTAATAAATACTGTGTTTTACTTACTATTTATCACAAAGAATACCTTTAATAAATTGGATCTCATGACATCAGGAAAGAAGGAAGATTCCCACAATCTGCTGGCTTTAGTAATAAGTTTCTCCCTTAAAAGGTGAACGGGCTTTGACTAAAGTGTAAATAAACAGTGATAAAAAAAATTCCACCTAACAAAAATTTTAAAGTTCCTTAAAAAAAGAAACAACAACAAAAAACTCCACTTAACAAAACACAATCTGATTAGTTTCTGAATAAAGTAAATAAAACCTGTAACTACAAGGCTCTCGCATTACAACTAAAAATTCTTAGAAATGGACAATACTGGAATTGGTTTGAAACTACCCTGCCACGGCCCTCTTCTGCGATTATGGCTGAAAGGGTCTCAGAGCTGAGTTTTCTTCTTGTTGCTCCTTCTAATCCCCAAGGACAGTTAGCAAAATCTCCATCTGGAAGGTCTTCCTGCTAACTTAACAGAAACACAGCCAGTCAGTCTTGTCAGTTCTCTTCTGCATTTACCTGAAGGTCAATGTAGCCATCGTCTGTGCTGGAGAGCCTTGAATATTTCACTTTACTACTGGGGATTCCAGTAGCCAGGTTGGTACGGGACGGCATCATAACACGCTGACACAGCTACAGTTTAAAAACAAAAAACCCGTTATTGTCTGTAGATGACAATGGTGCATTATAGCCAATGAGTTCAGGATTATTAGATGCTGTGCACTGGAGTTCTGGGCTGCCATGTCAGACTAGCAATGGGCAATTTACACTTCACTGCTAAATTTTCATTGTGTCAGAGGCATATGCATATGGAAAACCAGATATGCCTCTGACACAGTGAAAAGATTCTCACTATGTATTAAATATCTAGTCTGGTCTGTCCTTGTAGAATGACAGTGAAGACACTCACCAAGAATCACATTCCAGTTTATTTTGCCACCAAGATTCCCTGACTTTTAATTTTTCCAAAGTCACATAGAGACTAGGTAGAATAATGGGGACTTAAATCTAGGTCCACCTGACACCACAGCATTGCCTGTCCCCTGCTCCCGCTCTTAAGAAAAAGCAAGAGGAGCATATACTCAAATGATTCTCTTGTTTGACAGGGAGGGAGAAGAGGGCAGAGAATGGAATACACTCACATCAGCATTTTGCCTATTTCCCCTTGATAGAGATCAACCTTTTAATGCAAAAGATCTGTAAAGTTTCTTGCCGTAAATTTGTGGGGTTTTTTTGTTGTTGTTGTTTGTTTGTATTTTTTGGAGACGGTGTCTTGCTTTGTCACACAGGCTAGAGTGCAGTGGGTTGATCTCAGCTCACTACAACCACCGCCTCCCAGGTTCAAACGATTCTCCTGCCTCAGCCTCCCGAGTAGTTGGGATTATAGCCATGCACCACCATGCCTAGTTAATTTTTGTATTTTTTAAGTAACGAACTGGTTTTCACCATGGTGGCCGGGCTGGTCTTGAACTCAGTTTTTTTTTTTTTCTTTGCGATAGTCTCACTTTGCTGTCCAGGATGGAGTGCAGTGGCGCAATCTCCATTCACTGCTGCCTCTGCCTCCTGGGTTCAAGCAATCCTCCTGCCTCAGCCTCCTGAGTAGCTGGGATTACAGGCGTGTGCCACCACGCCTGGCTAATTTTTGCATTTTTAGTAGAGATGGGGTTTTACCACGTTGGCCAGGCTGGTCTCGAACTTCTGACCTCAAGTGTTCTGCCCAACTCAGCCTTCCAAAGTGCTGGGATTACAGGCCACTGTGCCGGGCCCCTTGTAAATTTGGATACAGGCCTGGCTATACTAGTGCCTCCAGAAGCGCCCACCTCTCTGTCCCATCCCAAGCACTGAAAGTAGTGATTTCATTTTCCTAATTACTTCTGTACCAACCTTAAGAAACGGAATATGGTATAATATCTTACAAAAAATTTTAAAGAAAGAAAGAAAAAAATGGAATAACAACCTGGCTTCTTGTTCAAAATATTCAAAGCAGACAGCAGTAATGAAATCATGGCTATTATGTCACTAGTTTAAGAGACAGTGGGTAAGTTTGAAAAATCATAACATTTAAATTAAGACCATTTGTATTAATAGGCCGGGCGTGATAGCTCACGCCTGTAATCCCAGAACTTTGGGAGGCTGAGGTGGGTGGGTTACCTGAGGTCAGGAATTCGAGACCAGCTTGGCCAACATGGTGAAACCCCATTTCTACTAAAACTACAAAAATTAGCCAGGTGCAGTGGCACACACCTGTAATCCCAGCTATTTGGAAGGCTGAGGCACGAGAATAGCTTGAGCCTGGGAGACGGAGGTTACAGTGAGCCGAGACTGCACCACTGCACTCCAGCCTGGGCGACAGAATGAGACCCTGAGTCAAAAAAAAAAAAAGAAAATTTTTTTTTTAATTTGTCCACTTTTCCTCCATAAAGTAACAAAGCTATATGATCAAAATGGGTAAATATATTTTAGTCAGGGTTTTTAAATTCTAAATTCAAAAACATATCTTTAAAAAAGACAAAACTGACCAGGCGCAGTGGCTCACACCTGTAATCCTAGCACTTTGGGAGGCCAAGGCAGATGGATCACAAGGTCAGGAGTTCGAGACCAGCCTGGCCAATATGGGGAAACCCTGTCTCTACTAGAAATACAAAAATTAGCCGGGCATGGTGGTGGGTGCCTGTAGTCCCACCTACTCGGGAGGCTGAAGCAGAAGAATCGCTTGAAGCCAGGAGGTGGAGATTGCAGTGAGCTGAGATCACACCACTGGGCTCCAGCCTGGGCGACAGAACTAGACTCCATCTAAAAAAAAAAAAAAAAAAAAAAAAAAAAAAAAAAAAAAAATTCAGTATTTCAATAAGGGCATAAGGGCAACATAAAAAAAGGACTAGTTTTTCTCTGGGATGGCATTTTTAAAATTCATCATTATCATCATCACAATAATGGTGGTTAGTACTTACCTAGTCTTTGTTAGATGCCAGCTGTTCTAAGTACTTTGTACATACCTAATTCCAAAAAATAACAAATTGTTTTTCTTTTTTTTTGGTGTTTTCTTTTTTTTGAGACGGAGTCTCGCTCTGTCACCCAGGCTAGAGTTTAGGGACCCGATCTCAGCTCACTGCAACCTCCGCCTCCAGGGTTCAAACGATTCTCCTGCATCTGCCTCCCAAGTGGCTGGGACTACAGGAGCCTGCTACCACGCCCGGCTAATTTTTCTATTTTTAGTAGAGACGGGCTTCACCATATTGGCCAGGCTGGTCTCAAACTCCTGACCTTTTGATCCGTCCGCCTCGGCCTCCCAAAGTGCTGGGATTACAGGCGTGAGCCAGCGCGCCCGGCCTAACTGTTTTACGTGGCTTGCAGTCAATGTAAAATAACTAGCATAATTAAATAATTGGTGCTAAATATTAATATCCGTTTTTATTGATTACATCCTGGTCTAGAAATCAAGTATTTAAAAATTAGCATAATGTTAATCTCTATACTTTTCAAAAAAGATTGGATCAAACTGTGTCAAATAGTAGGTTTTTAGTGTTGTGATCCCGGCTGCATTTAATTCTATAAAACAAAGTTCAAACTACCAGTATGTGTGGTTTTTGAGGGCATTTAACCACATCTAACTTGCAATTAGACTTTTTTTTAAAGTACGTCCCCTGACATTAACTGTTCATACATCCGCATCAAAACAATACATCGCAGGGGCGTGAGGGAGAGGGGAGACGAATGTTTACTCTTGGCAAAGAGGATTCTAAAAGACGGGAAAAATAAAAACGAGCATTTTCAAAGTATCAGTCTTCGTTGCCAACAGGCTTTTTACCAGCTCACCGCTACCCCCAAACTCCCTCAGCACCTGAATGTTACGAGAGTTCTAAAAGCATCATAAAACGTTTGGCACACAGTGCCTGGCATTACGCGCCTCTACATACGTTATTCTCCTACCCGTCTTCAGACCTTGCCAGGGAGAGAAATAAGAACCGACGCGAATTTAGACGTAAAACAAACAAAACGGGCTTCTGGAAAGAGGCCAACTGTGCCAGGGGGGACGAATGCCCCACACGGATGACTCGGAGCTTGATTTCGGCGGGGAGCGCGGTCTCGGACACGCCCAGAGCCCGAGAGGACGGTTCTGTCCCCGCCCTGCCGCACACACGCCTTACCGGAGCGCCGCGCCAGGCCGCCCGCACACCCAGAGCTCGCCCACGGTTGGCAGCGCCCAAGGTTGCATGGCATGGCCCGCTTAAGTGCCACTCAGCCGGCCCCAGGCGGGATCAGTGCGCCGGAAGTGGCGTGCCGGAAACAGGCGCGTCGGAAGTTGCGTCTCCGGAAGCGTTTGTCTCTTTACCCAGCTTCCCGGGCTAACCCTTACCGAGTGTCACCTGCAGGAGGCACCGGGACTCCGGGGCTGCACGGCCCGAATGCTTCTTCGTGGGTTTTGTTTAAGCAGCCGCGACCTGTGCCTGCCGCCGGCTACCTCCGCTGTGGCGGGCGAGCACCTAGGGTCCTCACCTACCTGGGTCACAGTCAGGTCCAGGGCAAGCCGGCTACGTGGTTTCTCCCCTCCTCAGTACAGGGGCCAGGCTAGAGACCGCCGTGGCTTCCCAGGGAGGCAGAAGCCGAGTCCGTCGAGCCTCAGGACCAGCAGTCAGAGCGGCCAGATATCCGCTGCAAGGCGCCAGCCTTCCATGGGCGCGCGCCGTCAACACCCCACTACCACACTTCCCTTGAATAGCACACTTGTCTGTGCTGTCAGCACCCCACTATACTTCCCTTGAATAGCCCCACAAACTTGTGCTTATCTTTAGGGCTTGTCCAGGTAAAAGGCCTGCCCACAAGGGACATTTTGCGGCAAATGAAGCTTTTTAAAAAGTTAGGTTTATTGAAGTATTTATACACAAGTACAAATAGATGAGCTCTGAAAATACATACGGTCCTAGAACCATCACCAATCTAGATGGAAATATATCCATCACCCCAAAGTTCCATCGGGCTCTTTTGCAGCCTATTTCCTTCTCCACTCACAGGCACACTGTAGGAAAATGAACTTACTACTGGACATGGTTAATTCTCATGTCCAGTAACTAGAACTCAGTCCAAGTAATTTAAGAAAGAAATCAGTCATTTAATCTACCAAACACAAAAATGCACTGGAAAAAAGGATTATGATAAAGCAGTTTTTAAAAATGTTTTTTCTAAAGCCAAATTGAGCAGCAGGGGTTGTATACCTACTTTAGTGATACTAATGTTAGTAAGTTCTGATAACCTACTACTATTAAACCAGCCAATAATTTTTTTTGAGATGGAGTCTCACTCTGTTGACCAGGCTGGAGTGCAGTGGCATGATCTTGGCTCACTGCAACCTCCACCTCCTGGGTTTAAGTGATTCTTCTGCCTCAGCCTCCCAAGTAGCTGGGACTACAGGCATGTGCCACCATGCCTGGCTAATTTTTTTTTTGCATTTTTAGTAGAAATGGGGTTTCACCATGTTGACCAGGCTGGTCTCGAACTCCTGACTTTAGTTGATCCGCCTACCTCCCAAAGTGCTGGGATTACAGGTGTGAGGCACCGTGCCTGGCAAAAAATTCTTAATACACAGCACACAGTGAACTTGTAGCTATTAGTGGGAATGTTTTTAAGTCTTTCTTCACAACTTCAGGGCTTTTTCACTTTCTTGGTTGGATCCAACATCCGTGGAATTTAAGACATCTTCATCCTTTGAGTGAAGTTGCAAAGTGTACTTATACTAGAGAAATTTTGTACAACCATACTCCTTGGGCCCCATTACAGCTCTACTGAAACATCCAAGACTCTTGTAAGATTCCCCAGGCTAAAAAGAAACACTCCATTAACATCTTATAAAGCCCACACGACTTTCGGTACATTAAGCTTCTGAAGAGTATTAATTTTTGCCAAGTAAAATGAAATACACAGGATTTGTACTACTCTCTCACTTGTTCCTTGAGCTCAAATTGGAATAACAAGTTTGACAAGTGAATCCCCTAAAATATCTAGTAACCTACTGTATTTGAAATCCTTTTGATCTCCATCAGGCTGCTCTAAACTGAAAAACCATTTAAACGAAAGGGTAGCTGTAGCTGGGAATTCAGTAGGATACTTCCAACAGTCCTGGTCAAAATGAAGACACTGCCCTGTGATGTTTGAAATTCAAGTAACTTTATTTAAATTCAAAAACAATTCTTAAAACTGCATTTAGAGTCAAGACCCTTTTGTATTATAAAAATCACAAGTATTTCTAAGAGACAAAAATACTTCTAGGTTAACTAGACCAGATCTGACTTTGGACTTTATTCTTTAAACAAATTGCAGAGAATAGAGAAAAAAATAGGTTATTTACAGAAAACAATATCTACATATGTACTTAGAGGTACAAATTTGGTGACAGAAAAGACTTCAGTATATGCTGGCATCTTAGAAGCAGTTCTCAAAGAGCTTAGTTTTATTTTCTTGAATTTTAAGAATGCCTAAGATCCTTCTTCATCCTCGATCTTGGGAGCCAAGTAGTATTTTAAGTGTCCCATATCCGCAATTTTATACTCTACAACTGAAAGACAGGAAGATGGTTAATTACTGAGGAGTATGTATCACATATGACTACCTACAAAACAAGGTTCAAATTTATTATCTTACCAAGGGGTACATCTGCAGACATACTGAGTGTCACCGTTGAAGAGAGTGGAGTGGCTTTTGTAAAGAAGTTCAGGTACCTCAGTGCAAAAGTTAGTTGAACTGGTTCATTCATCTCTATGGTAACCTACAAAACAAAAGATTCATCATTGAAAAACATCAAGAAAGTTGCAATCTATTAGCTCATTATATATTTATAAAAACCCACAAACACTTGTATTGGTCACTTTGGAGGGAGCTATGAAAATTTTGAAGACTGATACATAAAGCAAAAGACTCGATTATCTAGCTTGTCTTTCCTATAGCTATAATTTAGATAACCAAATTATATAATATGGGAAAGCTTTTCTTTATGGAAGTTTTTCTAATAAGCAGCCAATAAGTGAATAAAACGTATTAATTTCAGCTCTGCAAACTCTAATTAATGACTTAATGGATCTAGACAATGACTATTATAGCTGCTAACATTGCAAACACATCCAGACACCCTGTGCCTCCTACTAGAGGCACACACCACCACCTATATTCTTGCTCTCTCACCCCCGAAACAAAACACCCTGAATATCAAGGCTCCAGGGCTATAGCTACCAGTCTGTAGGACACACAGGGTAGAGGAATTTATGTATACACAGGAATGCAATCAGCAAAATCCAAACTCTGGAAAACTTAATAAATGATCTAATTTCTTCAACAAATAGATTGTAATGGAAGGGGGAAAATGAAATTAGGGGAAACCAGGCTAGGTGTGTTGGCACACACCTGTAGTCCCGGCTACTTGGGAAACTGAGGCAGGAGGATCACTTAAGCCCTGGAGTTTGAGGCTGTAGTGAACCGACTGCACCACCGCACTCCAGCCTGGGTGGACAGAGCAAGACCCTGTCTCAAAAACAAAGAAAAACAGAAAAAGAAAAAAACGAGGTTGGCAGGAGTGGAAATGTGATTCAGGAAACAGATAAAGAATCAGCTCCTAGACTTTATTAATTTAAAAAAAAACCTTTCAACTGAATTTTACCTTTATTTAAACTAAATGTTGACTACCCATTCAAGGGACAAGAGAGCAATATATAGTATTTATTGTAAGCTTATAATATGCCACACACAGCATATGCTAAGCTCTTTAATGCTACCGTATTTAATCCTAACAAGGTTATGAGGTTAGGACCTTTGTCCTTGATTTACAAAGTTTTAATTTATGCCCAGGTTAGCGAGTTTTTTTTGTTTGTTTAAGATGGAATCTTGCTCTGTCACCCAGGCTGGAGGGGAGTGGCATGATCTGGGCTCACTGCAACCTCCGCCTCCTCGGTTCAAGTCATTCTCCCATCTCAGCATTCCAAGTAGCTGGGATTACAGGTGTGCGCCACCACACCCGGCTAATTTTTATATTTTTAGTAGAGATGGGGTTTTGCCATGTTCTTTCTATTTTGGTTAAACAAGGGCTCTCTAGGTACTCTCAAAGTTGCATGGAGTCTGCTTTCTAGCCTTAGTGAGAAGTCTCCTTCCTGTTTAACCTTTGATTCCTACAGCCTGTGACTTTGGCTAAATTGTCACTTAAGGTTGCTCAGCCTGCTTCTCCACCTTTAAAATGGGCTACCAATTGGACCCACAACATGTAAGCTAATATTAGGATTACATAAGTGCTCCAAACAGGTAGACTTTTACTCCTAACCATATCCTTCTATTGAGCTGCTGTCCTATGCTCAATTATTTGGTAAGAGAGTAAGTATCTCCAGAAAGCTAAAGGTTATACGCCTAACTTCCCAATCCTACCCTTAAGAGCCGGTGTGGACTTGATCCATAAACCACTGTTCTGTGGTATGTACACGTGCTGAATTTGTATTCCCTTCTTGCAAATATAATTCTAAATTGGATGACACTTATAAATCATTCGCAGATTTCAACAGTATCTCAATTTTCAGAAATTACTTGGGATCCAATTCTGTCTACTTTTAATTTTAGCAATTAACCTAATAAGCAGTATTATAATTCTCTTCAAACTATTTTCTTTTTACTTAAAAACTACTTACAGCTTCCTCCTCTTTATCGACATTACTTGTCTGTGACAATTTAATGTTTCCATTTCCAAGTTCTCCACTTGCAGAAAATTTCACTCCGTCTTTTGCACAGGAAATTACAACAGCATCTCCAATATGGCTGAGATCTCGGCATATACGTGCAAATTCACCAGAAGGCATCTTTACTACACAGCTGTACTCCTGTTCCTATTAAGAACAAAAATTTTCCAAAAGTTAATTGTTAGAAATTTAATGATTTGGCACCCTCACTTTCTTAAAAGGCAACACCTAAACAACTCAGAATCAATATTTTCTGATTACTTTAAAATATGACTTGCGTAATTTCTTAACAAACTCCACTCAAAAAAATAAATGGCTATTAAATGCACCATCCAGGGAACAAGAGCCTCCTCCTCCTCATCCTCCAGGGATAAAGTAAGAGAACATTAGAGTATGGCACAGAAATCATGATGGCGCAAGCAGGCCTAACTACTTTCTAAAAGAAAGCAAGAGAATATATTAGGCATTTTCAACATTCAAACATTTCTTCTCTCCTTTGGTGTTTATAAACCTAACCTGGATAAATTTCTTCCAAGTCAGCTTTAAAATCCACTTAATAAAAAGCAAGCATTCTAGAAGGAAACAAATTTTAAAAGAGGTTCATGGAAGTTAATGCAAATAGACAACTGGCAGTAAACAATAAATTTAACCTGTGAGTTTTAGACTTGTGGTGAACAACTATCCAAATACTAAAATCTCTCTTTGAAACATGCACCAGTAGATATATTTCTAGAAAAAGTTGTTATGAAGTAGGCTTAAATTATATTAACATATCTTGACGGAGGAGGATCACTTGAGGCCAGGAGTTCCAGACCAGCCTGGGCAAGACTGCCCCCACGCCCACACACAAAAATGAAAAAATTAGCCAGGTGTGGTGGGACAGGCCCGTAGTCCTTCCTAGCCACTTAGGAGACTAAGGCAAGAGGACTGCTTGAGCCCAGGAATCCCAGGTTAGAGAGAGCTATATGGCACTACTGCACTCCAGCCTGGGCAACAGAGCCAAGACCCTGTCTGTAAAAATAAACAAACATTCTATGACATAACTATCGTGCCTGTGTACAGCACTCTCTACAATGAGAAACTGATACTCACTGGAATTCCAAGTTGTTCAACATCTAAATCCATCAACTTCATTTCATAGTCTGAAACTTTCTCCTGGTCTACCAAAAGAAAGCAGATGCTTTTGAGAAATACTGACACAGAGTTTTGATTTTCTGTAGCTTCGTGACTCGGTAAAAAGGTACGACTTACTTGGTGCTTCAAATACTAGCGCCAAGGTATCCGCGTTATCTTCGGCCCTTAGTGTAATGATATCTTCATTGCCGGCGCATTTTAGTATTTTGGACATACTAGAAGACAGGAGACACATGCTTTAAAATCAACGCCGTCTGCTGAAGGGCTGTATTTCGAACGCGGTTAGAAGGGGTTACCACTCTCACCCATCAGGCCGTCTCAGAACTGGTGGAGGGTAAGCGGACTGCTGGAGGATGCCATTATTAATGCAGACGTTTTGGGACGCATCTGGCAGTATTTATACTAAAATACCACCAGCAGTGTCCCTTCTGGATAGAAACAATCTCCTGCCACTAAGTAGGATGACAGGCTGCCACATTTCTCGCAAGGGCATTATAAAGCATTTAAAGTCAACCGCGACTGAGCCGGGAGGATCGCTTGAGCCCAGAAGTTGGAGACCAGCCCGGGCAACACACCGAGACCGTCTCAGAAACAAGAAAGCCACAGCTAAAGCGTCCATTCAAGGCCAACAGGATTTAGTGAGCAAAGAGCCCTGGAACAGTGTTCCTGGCACTGCGGAAAAACCCTTGATTTTCCCGCCACCACCCGCTTTGTGACTTTGGCGCGAAAAAGCAGGTTCGCGCAGCAGCCAGCGCGGGCTTTTCCGAACCGCGCGCTCAGCTGGGCCCCACCCCACTGCGTGGCAGGCCAATGAGAAGGCGCGGATGGCCCACGCCAGCCAATGAGGGCTAGGCTCGAAAGCGCTCCCGCCAAGCACCGGAGGTGCAGGCGGGCCGGGGCCGGCTTCCCGGGGCCGCGAGGCTCACCTGGTGAGGTTCACGCCCATGGCCAGGTTGCGGTCGCAGCGGTAGGTGTCGAAGCCCTCAGACCGCAGGGTGAGCTGCACCAAAGAGACGTGGGACGAGTCCATGCTCTGCAGGTTTACACCGCTGGAGCTAATATCCCAGCAGGCCTCGTTGATGAGGTCCTTGAGTGCCTCCAACACCTTCTTGAGGATGGAGCCCTGGACCAGGCGCGCCTCGAACATGGTGGCGGAGTGGCAACAACGCCGCTACAGGCAGGCGGGAAGGAGGAAAGTCTAGCTGGTTTCGGCTTCAGGAGCCTCAGAGCGAGCGGGCGAACGTCGCGACGACCGGCTGAGACCTAGAAAGACAACGACCACTCTGCTACGCCTGCAACCGTTTAATGCCGCCGCGTCCGCAAGCGCGCGCTCTCACCCTGCGCCGCGTTGCGACGTCACCACGCTGTCCAGCCCACGGCCTTGCGGGGAAGACTTTAGGGCCAATCGTGTCCATGCTCCCCGCGAGGCCCGCCCCCTAGAGCATACATTGGAGGAAGCGGGCGCAGGGCGGGGCAGCGTCGCGCAGGTCTCCCCGCCTCTTTGACTCCTGAACCCGGCCGCAGAACAAGTCCGGGCATATGTGGAGATCGGGTCCCGGTCCCGGCTCGTCAAGCCCCAGCTTTATGGTGGCTCCTCAGCCTCCCACTACGTGGGTAGAAAGTTTCCAGCCACGAAAGTGAAAGTGAAATGCAAATCAAGCCTACCGGGAGGAAAAGCCTCCTTGCAGCCTGAAGAGAGTACAGCTGCTGCAAATATGCACTTTATTTTTCAATTACAGAATTGATGCGCTCGTAGGTGTCACAAGATAAAGAGGTGAATTGTTCTGTTAAACTTAGCTCCCTATCATCCTCTTAACATTCCCCCGCCAGCTCTTATAATCACTCAATCGTTCATTGTATAAAGCTTTTAAAGCTTTTTTAAAAGTTCGAATACACTTTTTTTTTTTCAAAAATGCACTCATTCCGTAAACACTTGGAAAAGTACTTAATAAAGTACATTTAATTTTATGCCACGTACATCTTTTATCATATCAGTACCTCTTTAAAACATAGCATCACATGTATATAACATAATTTATCAATCTCCTGTTGTTTAACTACAAACACCTTTGAGCACTTAGGCAATTTTGGTGATATCAACTCCTTGAAGTAATACAGCTGAGTCAAAGAGCGTACACATTTAATATTTTTTCTTTTCTTTTCCTTTCTTTTTGAGATGGAGTCCTGCTCTGTCATCCAGGCTGGAGTACAGTGGCGCGATCTCAGCTCATTGCAACCTCCGCCTCCCAGGTTCAAGTGAGTCTCCTGCCTCAGCCTCCCGAGTATCTGGGATTACAGGTGCCTACCACCACCCCCGGCTAATTTTTGTATTATTATTATTATTTTTTTTTAGTAGAGACGGGGTTTCACCATGTTGGCCAGGCTGGTCTTGAACACCTGACCTGAGGTGATCCACCTGCCTCGGCCTCTCAAAGTGCTGGGATTACAGGCGTGAGCCACCACGCCCAGCCAGAAATTTTCAATTGTTACAGGATGGACAGGATTTGTTGTTTCTCTCTTGCTTTCTTCACACCACTTCTCTTTAGTTACTTTTAATACCTTGGTCAGCAGAATTCTTTAGTTTTTCTACCATGTATCTAGGTATGGAGTTAGTTTTATTTGTCTTGTTGAGGGAACTGAAGATTCATTTCAAGTCTGACATATTCTCAATCATTATGGCTTCAAATATCTCCTCTCCTTAGTCTATTCTTTATCTCTGGAATGCCTTTCTTTCCTTTTTTTTTTTTTTTTTTTTTTCCTAGTTCAGCTGTGACTCCATACAAGGTTCTAAGATGAGTTTCACAGTCTCTTCCCTGGATTTTGTGGAGACTTAACTTTACCCTTCTGTATCAGCCTCTTAAAGCACTGGGTCAGCCTTAAAAGGGAACAGGAAAGGGCATTTCTATTATAAGATGCCTTCAATTGTAATATGTACCATTATTTTATGTAGCACAAGCAAGAAAACTGTCAAACTTTTTTTTTTATTATTTTCTAGAGAGGGGAGTCTCCCTTTGACACCCAGGCTGGAGTGCAGTGGCAAGATGACTACTCACTGCCACCTCCAACTTCTAGGCTCGAGAGATCCTCTTGCCACCTCCCAAATAGCTGGGACTACAGGGGTGCACCACTGTACCTGGCTAATTTTTAAATGTTTTTGTAGAGAGAAGGTCCCACTATGTCGCTCTGGCTGGTCTCCAACTCCTGGGCTCAAGCAATCTTCCCAATCGGTCTCCCAAAGTGTGAGATTACAGGCATGAGCCACTGTGCCCAGCCTCAAACTGTTACACAATGCTTTATCACTTAGAATTTCTTTTTTTTTTTCTTTTTCTTTTTCTTTTTTTTTTTTCTGAGACAGAGTCTCACTCTATCACCCAGGCTGGAGTGCAGTGGTGTGATCTTGGCTAACCGCAATCTCCGCCTCCTGGGTTCAAGCAATTCTCATGCCTCAGCCTCCTGAATAGCTAGGATTACAGGCATGCGCCATCACACCTGGCTAATTTTTGTATTTTTAGTAGAGACGGGGTTTTGCCATGTTGGCCAGGTTGGTCTTGAACTCCTGACCTCATGTGATCTGCCTGCCTTGGCCTCCCAAAGTGCTGGGATTACAGGCATGAGCCACCGCGCCCGGGTCTATTTTGTTTTAAAAGAACTTTTAGACTTTAAAAACATTCTTATTATATATTACTCTTGTGCAAACATGAAAAAATTTAAGCTACATTGGTTAAGGCATTCCTACTGTTTCTCCACTCAGTTAGTTGCTGATTCTGCTGTTTTTCTGTATAATATCCTACTCTGTGTTGTCAAGGGTATTGATGATGCAGTATTTTTCAATAGTGCTATTCTATTGTCTCTGGAATTTCTTGCAAGCCTCTGCTACTCATTTGTAAGTTTTGATGTTGGCACTTTCTTGCTTTATGTGTGATGGACTACCCATTTGCATACATCTCAATATCAAAACATAATACAGCATCATCTGTTTGTGGTTCTTTTCCTTTCTTGGGTCCGTTAAAATCTCAGTTCCTTTGCAAAATGTGGAATGTGTTCCTTCCTCCAGTGAGGAACATTTGCTTCACTAAAAACAAATGCATATGCTCCACTACTCTGTTTCAGTTCTGTCTGCTTACATAATAACATTTTGGTTTAATGCCAAATTACATGTAATAGATTTGAAGACATTTTAAATGACAAACTCTATCCATGGGGGATCCACCATGTACATCAATCTGTTTATTTCTGCTCTATTACAGAAGTGATGTCCTCCTAAAAGTGTCAAATGATAAAGAGGTGTACAGTTACGTAAATTTTATGTTAAACTGAAATGAGGACATAAACATGCCTATGACTGTGGTCAGAGAAGGCCTCTCTGAGGAGGTAGCATCTTATCAGAGAAGACAGCTGCTTGGAGAGTTGGAAAAAAGCATTCTAGGCTGAGAGAATAGCATGATTATAAAGGTCAGCATACTTGGAATATATTCAGACAAGTTTGATGTAGAACTCAGACTGATGTGTCTGAAGCAAGAGTGGTGCAAGGTGAGGTTGCAGAGAGGCTGGGGTGAGCTCTTGCAGGACTTTGTAGGCTCTCTAAAAGTGCAAGGGAATGTGGTCAACAGCAGATCTTTGATGTGATCCAATTTACATTTTAAGTGGCTACTCTAACATCTAGTAAAGGTACTATTGGATCAGTGGGAGAAAGAATGAAGTAAATTTTGATCAGATAATTGGTTAAACTATTAGAAAAGAATAAAAGCTGTAGACTTTTCTGGATGGGCGCAGTGGCTCATGCCTGTAATCCCAGAACTTTGGGAGGCTGAGGTAGGTGGATCATCTGAGGTCAGGAGTTCGAGACCAGCCAGGCCAACATGGTGAAACCCCGTCTCTACTAAAAATACAAAAATTAGCTGGGCGTGGTGGTGCACACCTGTAATTCCAGATACTAGGGAGGCTGACGCAGGAGAATTGCTTGAACCCGGGAGGCAGAGGTTGCAGTGAACCAAGATTGCGCCACTGTACTCCAGCCTGGGTGACAGAGCAAACCTCCATCTCAAAAAAAAAAAAAAAGACTTTTCCTAATAATTATTCACTAAATTCTAGATAAAGAATTCAAATTCAAATCTTGACCCAATAAGAAATGGAAAAATATTTTGGTAAATATTTATGAGATCTTCCTATGGGCTTCCAAACATAAGAAAAAAACCCATAAAACATAATGAATAACCATACAAGTTTTAAGACTTCAGTATGCCTCAAAGGATTATATTGGTTAGTATAGTTTAGGTTTCAGTGACAGAGAACTCAACTTGAATGGATTAAGAGAAATAGAAAATTTATTCATCTAAACAAAAAGCCAGAGGTATCTGGCCTCCACTGTCCAGTCCTAGTCTTCATAAACGTGAAGTTTGTTAGCCACATTAATAAGCAAAGAAATGTAAATTCAATGGAGACAGAATTTTAACCTACCAAATTAATAAAAATCATGTTAACACCTGGTGTGTTAGGAAGGATTCAAGGAAGTAGGCACTTAAATACATTGCAAGTGGGAGTATACATTGGTATAATTTTTCTGGTGGAAACTTAGAAATGTGTATCAAAAGCCTTAGAATTTTACTTATTCTTTGACACAGAAATTCGATCTCTAGGGTTTTTTCCTACAGAAGAAATCAGGGGCATTTACCAAGATCAAGCATGCTTAAGAATGTTTCTTGAGCCAGGTGCAGTGGCTGATGCCTGTAATCCCAGCACTTTGGGAGGCCCAGGTGGGCGGATCACCTGAGGTCAAGAATTCAAAACCAGCCTGACCTAAAACCCCTGTCTCTACTAAAAATACAAAAATTAGCCAGCTGTGGTGGCGGGCGCCTGTAGTCCCAGCTACTCGGGAGGCTGAGACAGGAGAATTGCTTGAACCTGGGAGGCGGAGGTTGCAGTGAGCCGAGATCACACCATTGCACTCCAGCCTGAGCAACAAGAGGGAAACTGTCTAAAAAAAAAAAACAAAAAACAAACAAAAAGAAAACAAAAAACGAAAAGAGAGAGAGAGAAGGGCTCTAAAGCTGGCCTAAAGCCCTATTAGCATCACTTCCACCAGACCCCTGTTCGTCACACAGTACTGACTTCAGGAATATACTTGATCTGAGTTCCATTAACCTGAGAGGGCTGAGTGTAATGGATGAGAAGTTTGTTCAGACCACATGTTATCCATCCTAGTAATCATGCTGTGCATTCTATAATTCTGACTTATGTGCATTGATTCTCCAAGCCTCCTTTTATTAGGCTGGATTTGAAAAGGAGCAGCTGAGTTTCTAGAAGGACTGACATGACACTCACTTAGATATGACCTTTCATACCTACGTGCCCCTGAAGGTGAAGTTCTAGACACTAACATCTTCACCTGTCTTAGAAGATCATCTTGCTCGAGTGCTGTGGCTCATGCCTGTAATCCCAGAACTTTAGGAGGCCTATGTGGGAGGATTGCTCGAGCCCAGGAGTTTAAGACCAGCCTAAGCAATAAAGTGAGACTTCATCGCTACACAAAAATTTAAAAGTTAGCTGGGTGTGGTGCTGCACACCTGTAGTCCAAGCTACTCGGGCATATACTCATATAGAAATCAGGAATATATAATGCTGTTTTCAGAATTCTCACTACCTGCCCCAAAACTCACAGCTCAGGTCAAAATTACCAATAGGAAATTTTAGCCAGGCATGGTAGCTCATGCCTGTAATCCCAGCACTTTGGGAGACCTAGGCGGGAGGATCTCTTGAACCCAGGAGTTCAAGACCAGTCTGGGCAACATAGTGAGACCCTGTCTCTAAAAAAAGGAGAAATAAATTAATTAAAATTTAAAAATTGAAAAGAAGAAAAATGTAAAATTATATTTTTTTAAAAAACGAAATTGCAATTCTTTTGTGTGCAAGTGTCTCATTGTGAGATTACAGTATGCTTAAGTTGGGGACGCAGTGTTATATGTGTTTTACATCACTTACAGGGCAGTGAATAGAAAGAACAGGAAACACCAAAGGCAATGCTGGAGCAACACAAGTATTAATAAATGCAGGCAGGCAGTATAGTATGGTGGTTAGAGTGTGGGCTGGTAACAAACCTGTTTGTGTTCTAATTCTTACTAGGCACTTTCTAGCTGGGAGACCTTGGCTAAGGTCCTTTTAAAAGTTTTAAATCCATCCAACAAGTACTTACAATGGATGTGTCAAAGACATAGAGGATGCACAGTAAACAAAGTAGACAGCACTTCTGTCCCAAAAAAGGTCTTTCCATAGTCCAGAAGACAAATTTGAAAAACTGAGGAAGGGCCAGGCTCGGTGGCTCACGCCTGTAATCCCAGCACTTTGGAAGGCGGAGGCGGACGGATCACCTGAGGTCAGGAGTTCGAGACCAGCCTGACCAATATGGTGAAACCCCGTCTCTACTAAAAATACAAAAGTTAGCCGGGCGTGGTGGCGCGCACCTTGGAATTGTTTGCGCCCGGGAGGCAGAGGTTGCAGTGAGTCGAGATCATGCCACTGCACTCCAGCCTGGGCGACAGAGCGAGACTCCGTCACAAAACAAACAAACAAACGAACAAACAAACAAACCACTGAGGAAGATCTTAACTGTAAAATTCAAATCATACCCACTTCCAAGCCATGTGTGGATTAAACGAGATAAGCCAACTAAAGCGATTACTCAGCTCAGTGCCTAGTATACAATTAGTGCTTAACAAGTACTAGCGACCGCTTGGCAAAGCAAAGCAGACTGAAGCGTGGGTTTCATTTCTCATCATGTGATAAGTGATAAAATGCTCTTAACCAGGTCGGCTCACCTGGCCTTTCCATTCGACCTAAATAACGTCTACTTACTTGCGTAAGGGAAGAGCTCTGGCCCAGGTCAGCAAGCATTTGTCAGGCTAGAGCCTCCGGGTGGCGCTTCTCGCCCTCAGTAACCGGTTACCTCCAGAACCAGGGCGCCAGCTCCGGCCATCCGCGGTTAAGCGGGAGCTCCCATTGGCTAATCGCACACTGAAACGCACGCCTTTTCCCGCCCCTGACGCTGCCGTCCAATGCGCGCCTCTCGACTCTGCTCCGCCCCGCCCCGCCCCCGTCGCCCTGCCTCCCTGGCGTATTTGCGCCATTGGTGGATATTCCGGACCGTGATGGTGGCGCTGCGCGTGCGCACTCGCTCCGAGCCCTGCTCCCGGGAGAGGGAGCTCTCGGGTCGGGGCTAGGGAAGGCTGACCCCGCTCGGCCCGGGTGAAAGGGCGGTGACGGCACTGGGTGGGGCCGAGCTCCAGGGCTGGCTGCTGGGCTGCTAAGGGAACTGTGAGCCGCTCAGAGCCGCGCGCCTCCCGGGCGGGGCGGGGCCGGCCGTGGGAGTCCGCGCGTGCCCGCGCCGAGCTGCCTGCTCCGGCGGCTTCGCTGCTAGCTCGCGGCGACGTCGGGCCGATTTTCCCAGGATGACAGAGCTGAGGCAGAGGGTGGCCCATGAGCCGGTTGCGCCACCCGAGGACAAGGTAGCGGCAGCGTCGGGGTGGGCGCGGCCGGGACAGCGGCGCATCCGGGAGGCCTGCGGGGGACGCGCGCAGAGGGGTCGTCTTGTTCTCTGACCCTTTGTCGCAGCCGACGGCGGCCCCGGGCCCGGGTAGCGCGAAGGGCCCTCGGGTGCCCGGCCTTCGCGGCGCGCGCGTCAGGGGTCGGCGGGTCGGGGTCCCGGCTCAGGGTCTGACTGAAGTGGCTCCCCCGGGGCGCAGGAAGGAGCTTCTCGGGAGTGGCGCACGGCCTCCTGCCTCGCTGGGCTGGCTGCGGGGACTCCCCTCTCCCCCAACTCCGTGAGGCCTTCCTGGAGGTGAAGATATGCAGAGCCTTCTTAGGGAGGCGGCTCCTCTGAGCGCAACTTAGGCTCTCCGTTCCCTTTTACAATGTTATTATTTTGGGGGGTGGGGGAATCAGGACAAGGCCATAGCATTTGCCTCCTGGGAGATGTAAATCCCTTCTTGGGCATGAAATCATCGGCTTTGAGCAAAGGGGTGTTACCCAGTGAGCCAGTCCGTCATCAGCAGGTGTTGGAGGGCGTCCTCCCGGTTGATGGGTTGTTTCCTGCACCGTGTGGGCTCTGGTGGGTAGGGGAGGAGAGTAGGAAGGAGGCCATCTTGGCGGGGACAGTGGCGGGGGTGACGGGTGGGGGAGTGGACTCCTTTGGGTGAAGTGAAAGATCTGTGTAGGGGAGTTAAGGAAGGTAGGGATTGGTTTTATTACTGTGGAGGTTGAATGGCAGTATAGGACTTTGTAGCAGTAGTTGTGCTTTCCGAGATAGCAGTGATCAGGAGCCCTGTGTTTGGGAAACTGATCAGACAGTGATGTGTAGAAGGGACTGAGGGAGCCTGGACCAGACTGAGGGAGCCTGGTTCACTCGGGATTGCCCATGAGTGACCTGTAGATGTTTTCTTTGGCCCACATATTGCCTTAAAAATCAGAAAGTTTCTCCTAACAATCTAAATTTCTTGCCTGTCTTAGATAATTGGAGGGTCCACCATCACTTTGTCACCTGCTCAATGGTTGGCTGGAGCTGAGGATCATCGGTTCCCACCAATCCCTGTTGCCTTACACCAGGCTCACGGCTTCCCCTAATGCAGCCTGTAACTTTTTGATGACTGGACGCAACGGACATTAGGGAGACACCCAGAAGGAAGAAAGCACAAGATTTGGTGACAGGATGTCAACAGAGCAGTTACACTAGGAGGAATGTTTTTGGTGAAAGATAATGAGATCATGGGTTTTTTTTAAACAACTTTCGTGTTATTGCAGTTGACAGTGGACTATCCAAAGAGAACTGTTCCTACCGATTTTTAGAACATATATTTTGGCCAGGCACAGTGCTGCTCGCCTGTAATCCTAGCTTCTAGGGAGGCTGAGGCAGGAGGATCGCTTGAGCCCAGGAGTTTGAGACCCTGTCTCAAAAAACAAAAACAAAAACATATTTTGGAGAACATTTAGGGCTGGGGCTGAGGATTTAGCAGTCGCTTGCAGAGACAAGATACTTTGAAGTCTCTAATTTTTCATTTGGCTATCCTGGTTCAGCCTGAAAGAATTCTGACTTACCTTGTACTACTAGTTGGTGAGTATGCAGATGTTTGGAGGCTCTGTAGCTCTGTTTAAGGGTGAGATCATGCTTGATGTTAGTGGGACTTTGTGGACCTAGAAGGTGTGAGGAGAGAGAGAAGAAAGAAGGCATGATAGCTGGTGGGCCATGTTTTTGAAAAGCTAACTATGTACAATAATTAGAATGTCAAAAAACAACCTTGGGATTATGAGATGCAACATAAAGATTCTACCCTCCTTCCCGGACTCGTTGGATCCATCCCCCAGAGATAAAGTGCGAGTTGAACCGTCTTACTTTCACATCCTGTACTTTAGACTGGGAGGACCTGAGGAGCTGTCCAGCTAGAGGTGCACTTATATCACTTATACAGTGACAGAATGCCTGGGGTCATGAGGTCCACTTGTGGCGTGTTGTTTCCTAAAAGACAGCTGCTATGCACTCTGTTAAAAGCCTGATGTTCATTACCGAGAACAAGACAATCAGTTCCTCACCCCATTATTCAGAACTTCTCAATTGTCACTGAATTGTCATGTATGGGATTTTATTATTATTATTTTTTTAGACGGAGTCTCTCTCTGTCGCCCAGGCTGGAGTGCAGTGGCACGATCTCAGCTCACTGCAACCTCTGCCTCCCAGGTTCAAGCTAGTCTCCTGCCTCAGCCTCCTGAGTAGCTGGGACTATAGGCATCCGCCACCACGCTCGGCTAATTTTTTTTTTTTTTTTTGAGAGGGAGTTTCGCTCTTTTGCCCAGGCTGGAGTGCAATGGCATGATGTTGGCTCATCGCAACCTCTACCTCCCAGGTTCAAGCAATTCTCCTGCCTCAGCCGCCCGAGTAGCTGGGACTGCAGGCGTGTGCTACCATGCCCGGCTAATGTTGTATTTTTAGTAGAGGCACGGCTTCTCAATGTTGGTCAGGCTGGCCTCAAACTCCCAACCTTAGGTGATCCTCCCGCCTCAGCTTCCCAAAGTGCTGGGATTATAGGCATGAGCCACTGTACCTGGCGTTTTTTTTTTTGTATTTTTAGTAGAGATGGGGTTTCACTGTATTGGCCAGGCTGGTCTTGAACTCCTGACTTCGTGATCTGCCCGCCTCGGTCTCCCAAAGTGCTGAGACTACAGACGTGAGCCACCACACCTGGCCATGTTTGGGATTTTTAATAAGGGAACATTTTAAAAACTGTGAAATCTATTATTTGTCTTTGAATGTATATAGTAAACTTTTGTTTGTTGGTTTGTTTTTTTGTTTTTTTTTGAGACAGAGTTTCGCTCTTGTTGCCCAGGCTGGAGTGCAATGGCACAATCTCGGCTCACTGCAACCTCCACCTCCCGTGTTCAAGCAATTCTCCTGCCTTAGCTTCCCCAGTACCTGGGATTACAGGTGCCTGCCATCACGACTGGCTAATTTTTTTGTGTTTTTAGTAGAGACGAGGTTTCACCATGTTGGCCAGGTTGGTCTCGAACTCCTGACCTCAGGTGATCTACCCACTTTGGCCTCCCAAAGTGCTGGGATTACAGGTGTGAGCCACCGTGCCCGGCCCATAGTAAACTTTTAAAAAATCCTGATTTATTCTGTTTCATAGTTTGGGAAACACCTACTTCCATGACTTTGGCTTTGCCAATATTCTTGTGTTAGAACCCAAGGAAATTAGAAATAATAAATTTTAAGGAAATGCATTATGAAACAAGAACTTTTTAATTTCATAGTAGAAGAATCCAGTGAACAATTTTCAAGTCAGTGCTTTAAAAGCTCTGGAATAGGCTGGGCGCGGTGGCTCACGCCTGTAATCCCAGCACTTTGGGAGGCTGAGGTGGGCAGATCACCTGAGGTCAGGAGTTCGAGACCAGCCTGACCAACGGGGTTTTAGTAGAAACCCCGTCTCTACTAAAAATACAAAATTAGCCGGGCGTGGTGGTGCATGCCTGTAATCCCAGCTACTCAGGAGGCTGAGGCAGGAGAATCGCTTGAACTTGGGAGGCAGAGGTTCCGGTGAGCCGAGATTGCGCCGTTGCACTCCATCCAGCCTGGGCAACAAGAGCCAAACAACGTCTTAAAAGAAAAGAAAAGCTCTGGAGGCTGGGCGTGGTAGCTCACGCCTGTAATCCCAGCACTTTGGGAGGACGAGGCGGGTGGATCACGAGGTTAGGAGATCGAGACCATCCTGGCTAACATGGTGAAACCCCATCTCTACTAAAAATACAAAAAATTAGCCGGGCGTGGTGGTGGGCGCCTGTAGTCCCAGCTACTCGGAAGGCTGAGAGGCAGGAGAATGGCGTGAACCTGGGAGGCGGAGCTTGCAGTGAGCCGAGATGGCGCCACTGCACGCCAGCCTGGGCGACAGAGCAAGACTCTGTCTTAAAAAAAAAAAAAAAAAAAGCTCTGGAGTAAACTTGAAAGATTCCTCAAAATGTTACAGTTGCTTAACTGCTGTGGCAAAACTGTCTTGTAAATAGAAAATCATTAGTATCAAAATAATCTGGAGCATGTTTATTTATAAAAGTCAGAAGGTATTTTGTTATATTTAGCATCTGAGAATGGAATTTTCAAAGCCAATTGCTAATAAAGGAAATGTTCTCCTCTGGGAACTGTGCTTATAATTTTAAAGTCCCAAAGCACAGTATAGTTGCCAAACTAAGAAACTTGGAGTTTAGGCTTTGGGAATGATCCTCTTCCTACCCAACCATATTTTTCTGATGGAGCTTAGGAAAGCAAAGGATGAGATATGGTCTGAAAGATTGGCATCTTAAAATTTATGATTGAGTTGGCATTTCAGGAGATTTTGTTTCGGAAGTTAGCGTATAGGTTCTGGGGTTTTCTGCTTTACTTAATTGCTGAAGTGCTATTTAAATTAGAGCTTTACTTATTTCAAGGCTTCCTTTCTAGATAGATGAAACCCATATGGAGAGGAAATAGTGACATCATTTAGAAAGGGGAGTTTAAATCTTAACTGAAGATAGCGTGTAAGAGCAGGGGCTTGGGTCAGTTACATCTACCTTGAGCCTGGGCTCCGCCACATAAAGGCTGTGTAACTTTGAGTAGATCATGGAAGTTGTGGCAGCCTCAGTTTGTCCATCATTAAAATGGGGGTCATAAAATTGTATGTGCTTTACAGGATATTCATGTGGATTAAACGTATGTATGGGCTGACAGCAGAGCTTGTCACATAATATGTTAGCTATGTTGCTACTGATTAAAATAGATTTTTATAGAAAAAACTTTAATATTCATCTTACACACTTGAAAGGTGATTAAATCTTCAAGTTATATATATTTGTAGAACCTATTCATATTCATTACCTTTTAAGGAAAGTTTTATAGAAAGGACTTAGCCTTCTATGACCTATCTTCGGTTTATTTTCAATTTTAATTTTTTTTTTTTTGAGATGGAGTCTCGCTGTGCCACCCAGGCTAGAGTGCATTGATGTGTTCTTGGCTCACTGCAGCCTCTGCCTCCTGGGTTCAAGTGATTCTCCCATCTCAGCCTCCCGAGTAGCTGAGATTACAGTCACATACCTCCACGCCCAACTAATATTTTTATTTTTAGTAGAGACAAAGTTTCACCATGTTGGTCAGGCTGGTCTCAAACTCCTGACCTCAGGTGATCCACCCGCCTTGGCCTCCTGAAGTGCTGGGATTACAGGCGTGAGCCACCGCGCCCGGCCTCTTTTTGGTTTATTTTCTTGTGGAATTTTTCAGTACTCCGAATCACAGGCTTTAACTGTAGAAGGACCACTGAACACTGTTGTATGCAATTACCTTCTTTTATAATTAAAAATGGTTTTCAATAGACTTTGAGATTGAACTACTCAAATAAAATATTAAAGAACTATAACTACTTCAGGTATAAGAGAAATGCTTAATTTTTTTCAAGAAAATTTTTTTATGTTGAGAAATAATTTAGGAATTAAAAAAATCAGTAAACCTTAACTATGATTCCCAGGCTTAACAGGGAGAGGAGGTGAAAGATTATTTTCTCATATAACCAATTATTTTATGTTTCTTATTTTTGTTGCTCAAACAGTATGATTTTATTTTAAAAACTCAATTACTGCATGATTTTTGACTATTTAAAATTAGTTTTTCCAAAATCTATTTTTAAAAAATGTTTTGTGTTTGCCCAGGTTAACATGGTATTTCATTAGAAGAATTTTTATCGGCCGGGCGCGGTGGCTCACGCCTGTAATCCCAGCACTTTGGGAGGCTGAGGCGGGCGGATCACGAGGTCAGGACATTGAGACCATCCTGGCTAAGACGGCAAAACCCCTTCTCTACTACAAAAAAAAAAAAAAATTAGCTGGGTGTGGTGGCGCCCGTAGTCCCAGCTACTCAGGAGGCTGAGGAGAATGGCGTGATGGCGTGAACCCGGGAGGCGGAGCTTGCAGTGAGCCGAGATCCCACCACTGCACTCCAGCCAGGAGGACAGAGCGAGACTTCATCTCAAAAAAAAAGAATTTTTATCATCTTTAAAAAATGTTAAATTGCTCTCCTTGGTTGTTAGGACTAGAAGGGACTTTAAAGGTGTTTTTTATTTTTAGGAACAGGGTCTCACCTTGTTGCCCAGGCTGGAGTGTAGTGGCACAGTCATAGCTCACTACAGCTTTAAACTCCTGAGCTCAAGCCATCCTCCTACCTCAGTCTCCTGAGTAGCTCAGGACTACAGGCCTGAGCCATGGCACCCGGCTTGAGGTAGTTATTTTATAGAAGAGGATGCCACAGCTCAGAGAGTTTAAGTTATTAGCTCAAGATGACTTAGTTGGTTAGATACAGAATGGTTCGTATTATGAAGGTCTTCTATTTATTTATTTTTTGAGACGAAGTTTCGCTGTTGTTGGCCCAGGCTGGAGTGTAATGGTATAATCTCAGCTGACCGCAACCTCTGCCTCCTGGGTTCAAGCAATTCTCCTGCCTCAGCCTCCTGAGTAACTGGGATTACGGGCATGCCACCACGCCCAGCTAATTTTGTATTTTTAGTAGAGATGGGGTTTCTCCATGTTGGTCAGGCTGGTCTCGAACTCCTGACCTCAGGTGATACTCCCGCCTTGGCCTACCAAAGTGATGGGATTACAGGCGTGAGCCACCGCGCCTGGCCTATGAAGGTCTTCTAATTCCCGGTTGTTGTTTTTTATTTTTTTCTCATAGAATTAATTTACAGACTTTAAAAGCTTCTTTATTGATTAACATTGATAGATATGATACCCAAATGTTACCTATTTTTCTTATTTGGCTACAAAATCAAAAAAATACTATATAAATCTTTCAAAATGTTAAATGTTAAAAAGGTCTCAGAGTAAATGTGGAGACTCTTTGCAGAAAAAAATGTATGTGTTTTATAGAGAAAGTTGATTAGTTTCAGTTTTCCTGGTTATCGGATGACTGTGATTTAGACATTTGTGAGCACTTTCCTGGGAGTGGCCACTCTGGTATCCTTGAAAGGCACTCCCGGCGCAGTGCTTGAAGACCACAAGGCGCCTTACCCAGGCAGTGGGTGAGGGTGCTTGGAAGAAATGCTTTCCAGTTAATGACTGTTAGCATGAGAACCATTTGTTCTAGTAATAAGCAGTCATTCAGTATTCAACGCTTCTCTTTAGAACATTCACTGACTGTAGGGTCTGCTATGGACGGTGTCTGTATTTCTGAGAGGGGCTGGTGTTATCAGTGTTCATAAGGATATTATTCAGAATTTTATTGCCTGTTTTGACTCCACATAATCAATTTTTTCCCTACTGATTTAAAGAAATAATACAATCTTTTTTAAATCAATAATATTTAAGAGTTTTATTTTTATTTATCTATTTATTTTTTGAGATGGAGTTTCTCTCTTGTTGCCCAGGCTGGAGTCCAATGGCGTGATCTCAGCTCACTGCAACCTCTGCCTCCCGAGTTCAAGTGATTCTCCTGCCTCAGCCTCCCGAGTAGCTGGGATTACAGGCGCCCACCATCACACCCAGCTAATTTTTATATTTTTAGTAGAGACAGGGTTTCACCATGTTGGCCAGGCTGGTCTCAAATTCCTGACTTCAGGTGATCTGCCTGCCTTGGCCTTCTACAATGCTGGGATTACAGGCATGAGCCACCGTACCCAGCCGACTGCATATTTAAATTGGTAAGGTAGAAAATGAGCATGAGAGTCTAACAGCTGATGGATATGGGAACATAATACTTGATAAAATCATTCAGAATATGTTTGATAAACAAGAAGATTGTATAAAACCTGCACTGTCCTACTAATGTAAAGCATTTCTCCTCCCTCACTTTATTCTCAACCTTACAACTGCCAGAAATTATATAATCTTGAATATATTTGAGAAACTCTTTTTAAAATGAATCTTGTAACTAATTTCTTTTTTGAATTTATATATATAAATATATACATACTTATTTTATAATAGAGACAGGGTCTTAAAATGTTGACCATTGAACTCCTGGGTTCAAGCGATCTTCTCGCCTCGGCCTCTCAAAGGGCTGGTACAGCGTGAGCCACCGTGCCCGGCCATTGTAACTAATTTCACAGGGCAGATAATCATCCTTTAAACTGTTTGAAAAGATTTGAGTGTTACTGTTTCTGGTTTTCACACTTTTCCATCTTTTCTAGGATCCACGTAGGTGGAGGAGATTCCTCTCCACAGTTTGTTAAGCTACATTCTATGTTGTTAAGGTCTCCCAGCCCTTCTGGACTGGCACTAGAGGCTGTTGGGGGTGAAAAAGTACAGCTGTTTGTGTGTCATACTGCCTCTGGTTCAGAAAAGAGACGGACACTGACTCTTCACTATTAATTTTGCCAAAGTCTCCTTGAAAGAATGCTAATTTGTTCCTGGCACTGGGCAGGGTTCCTGCCTTCCAAGTCTTGTCATGTGGTGGTTACTTGGCTGGGGTAATAGTGAGGCACCCCCTCCCCACCCCCACGTATGGTCCCCACCGGGCAGCTTCCTATGCCAGTCACTGATATTTGTTCTCATGTTGTTTGCCCCAACAGTAGGGATGGCATTGAGCCCACTAAGTTGACTGACCTTTTGAAGAAAGTTAAACTTTATGGTGTTATTTTGAGTAGGCAGTCTGTGGTGCAGAATTTGTAGGCAGCAAAGGGTATTCTGTGAAGTTTCCTTTCTCCCGCCTGCCTCTCCCCAGGGACAGCCTCATGCCACACTGTGGTTCTCATGAGCACTGCTGTCTGTGTGGAAGGACCTGACCTGTCCTACCAAAGTCAGACATCTTTTTGATTTGTTGTCTTTGGCAGAAGCTCCTTTGTATTAAGGTCTCCATAGGGCCAGCTTGGGGCTTCTCTGTAAAGACTTTGCTGAGGTTTTGAGAGTTCCTGGGACTTGGGATTTACGGGCAACACTCTCTGCCCCTGGGTCTCTGATGTGGAGAGGATGTCTGCCATTGACACCGAACCCCTGAGTGGGCAACTCTCAGAGCCATATCTCCACAGTCCATGCCTGGCTAGTCCTGTGGTTTCAGTGGTCTACAAGACATTCCTAGGTGCATGCCCTTCAGTCCACACAAACTGACTTTGTCTCAAATCTGAATTCTCTCATTCTACTCTTACCACCCTCCTTCAGTTTCTTTCTTCTGCGATAAAATCCCAGATGACTCGGTTACTCAGGCTTGAAATCTCCTATTCCTTTGTTCCCGTGCCCAGGGCAGGATGCAGATTCTAACCAGGTGTGACTTGGAATCCTTATCTGTTTGTTGTTTGTTGTCTGTTTGTTGCTCTTGGAGACTTCAACATTTCAGGACTGCAGTATTGTAAATGCCTGCAGTATCCTAAATCCGAATTCCTTACCTCTCCTGGAATCCTTATCTGTCTTTTACTCTTTGAGATTTCCCAAATTTCAGGATTTATTGCTTGCCTTATTGTAAACCCTGTGAATTGAGCTCCCTCCTGTTAGGATTTGCTCTAGGTCCCTCCTAATCCATCTTGTTCTTTGTATCTTTCAGGAGTTCTGAAACTGCCCTAATAATTATTGGGGGGGTGGGGTGGAGTGATAGAATTCTGGCTCTTTTTCATAATGCTTAAACTTTAAGATCCTTTGTAGTCTTCTGTCTCTCATTTCCTTCCAATTCTTGTTTTAGGTTCAGGGGATACATGTGCAGGTTTGGTACACGGGCAAATTGCACATTGCTGAGGTTTGGTGTACAAATGATTTTGTCACCTAGGTAGTGAGCATAGTACTAGATGGGTAGTTTTTCAATCCTCACCAGCCTCCCACTCTCCACCCTCAAGCCCTGGTGTCTCTTGTTCCCCTCTTTGTGTCCATGTGTAGCTCCCAGTTCACTCTGCAAGTGAGAACATGTAGTGTTTGGTTTTCTCTTCTTGCATTAATTTGCTTAGGATAATGACCCCTAGCTGCATCCATGTTGCCACAAAGGATATGATTTTATTCTTTTTTATGTAGCCTTCTCTCTTAACTGGCCTTTCTCCCTGCTTGGTGCCTCTGTGTCATGGATCTTGATTCTTGCTCTTTCCTACCTCTGAAATGTGTTCTTTCTGTCACCCTCCCTCATTTCTACCCTTTTTTTTTTTTTGAGATGGAGTCTCGCCCTGTCGCCCAGGCTGGAGTGCAGTAGCGTGATCTCGGCTCACTGCAGCCTCCGCCTCCCAGGTTCAAGCAATTCTCCTGCCTCAGCCTCCCTAGTAGCTGGGACAACAGGTGCTTGCTACCACACTTGGCTAATTTTTGTATTTTTAGTAGAGTTGGGTTTCACCATGTTAGCCAGGCTGGTGTCGAAGGCCTGACCTCAAGTGATCTGCCCGCCTTGGCCTCCCAAAGTGCTGAGATTACAGACATGAGCCACCACACCTGACCTTTCTACCTATTTAAGTCTTATTTTTTCAAAAATTATCTCAGAGCATCTCTGGCTAGAAGAGACGTAAGCATGTATTATTAAAAATTACAGAAGTAGGTCTCTACAAAAATATTTTTTAAAATTTGCTGGGCGTGGTGGTGCACGCCTGTAGTCCCAGCTACATGGGAGGCTGGGGCAGGAGGATCACTTGAGCCCAGGAGTTTGAGGCTGCAGTGTAGCCCACTGCACTACCATAACCTCAAACATTTATCATTTCTTTTTTGTTTTTTTTTTGAGACGGAGTCTCGCTCTGTCGCCCAGGCTGGAGTACAGTGGCACGATCTCGGCTCACTCCAAGCTCCGACTCCCGGGTTCACGACATTCTCCTGCCTCAGCCTCCCGAGTAGCTGGGACTACAGGCACCCGCCACCATGCCCAGCTAATTTGCATATTTTTAGTAGAGATGGGGTTTCGCTATGTTAGCCAGGATGGTCTTGATCTCCTGACCTCGTGATGCGCATGTCTCAGCTTCCCAAAGTGCTGGGATTACAGGCATGAGCCACCGCGCCTGGCCACATTTATCATTTCTTTAAATTTTTTTTTTTTTTTTGTAGAAACAGGATCATGCTGTGTTGCTCAGGCTGGTCTCGAACTCCTGGCCTCAAGTGATCCTCTTTCCTCAGCCTCCTAAAGTGCTGGGATTACACATGAGCCACCATACCCAGCCTCGAGTTGATTTTTGTATATGGAGAGAGATAGGATAGGGTTCTAGTTTCACTCTTTGGCATATAGATATCCAGTTTTCACAGCACCATTTATTGAAGAGGCTGTCCTTTTCCCAATGTGTGTTCTTGGTTCCTTTGTGGAAAATGAGTTGACTGTAAATGCATAGATTTATTTCTGAGTTCTCAGTTCTGTTCTATTTGTCTGGGTGTCTGTTTTAATTTAATTTAATTTGTTAATTAATTTTATTTATTTTTGAGATGGAGTTTTGCTCTTGTCACCCAGGCTGGAGTGCAATGGCGCCATTTTGGCTCACTGCAACCTCTGCCCTCCAGATTCAAGCCATTCTCCTGCCTCAGCCTCCCAAGTAACTGGGATTACAGGCATGCACCACCATGCCCAGCAAATTTTTGTATTTTTAGTAGAGACAGGGTTTCACCACACTGGCCAGGCTGGTGTCGAATTCCTGACCTCAGGTGATCCACATGCCTTAGCCTCCCAAAATGCTGGGATTACCTGGGAGGCTGAGGCAGGAGAATCGCTTGAATCTGGGAGGTGGAGGTTGCAGTGAGCCAAGATCGCACCACTGCACTGCAGTATGGTTAAAATGACCGTACTACCTAAAACAATGTGCAGATTCACAGATATTTTTTAAATCCTGAAATCTGTATGGGATCACAAAAGATCCCAAATAGCCAAAGTGATCCCAAGCAAAAAGAACAAAGCTGGAGACATCACACTACCTGATTTCAAAATGTACTGTGAAGCTATCGCAACCAAAACAACATGGTATTGGCATAAAAACAGACACACAGGCTGGGCGTGGTGGCTCATGCCTGTAATCCCAGCACTTTGGGAGGCCAAGGTGGGTGGATCACTTGAGGCCAGGAGTTCGAAACCAGCCTGGCCAAAATGGTGAAACCTCATCTTTGCTAAAAGTACAAAAATTAGCCCGGTGTGGGAGCCTGCACCTGTAATCCTAGCTACTTGGGTGGCTGAGGCTAGAACTTGGATTTGCTAGAATTGCATTGCTAGAACTTGGGAGGTGGAGGCTGTAAGTGAGCCGAGATCATGCCATAGCACTCCAGCCTAGGCAACAGAGCCAAGACTCTGTATCAAAAACAAACAAAAAAAGAAATGCTACTGATTTTTGTATGTTGTTTTTGTGTCCTACAACTTTAGTGAATTAGTTTATCAGTTCCAAGAGTTTTTTGGTGTTTTTCAGTTTTTCTATATGTGAGACCATGCCATTTGCAAAGAAGGATAGTCTGACTTCTTCCTTTCTAATTTGGATGCTCTTTATTTCTTTCTCTTGCCTAATTTCCCTGGCTATGATTTCCAATACTATGTTGAATAAGATTGGTGAAAGTGGACATCCTTGTCTTCTAGTGCTTAGAGGAAGGCTTTCAGCTTTTGCCTATTCAGTATGATGTTAGCCTTGGGTTTGTCATATATGGCCTTTATTATGTTGAGGTAGGTTCCTTCTGTACTTAATTTATTGAGAGTTTTTATTGTGAACCGTTGTTGAATTTTACAAGTGCTTTTTCAGCATCCTTTTTTTTTTTTTTTTTGAGATGGAGTCTCACTCTATTGCCCAGGCTGGAGTGCAGTGGCACGATCTCAGCTCGCTGCAACCTCCACCTCCCGGGTTCAAGCAGTTCTCCCTGCCTCAGCCTCACGAGTAGCTGGGATTACAGGCGCCTGCCACCACGCCCAGCTAATTTTTGGTATTTTTTAGTAGAGACAGGGTTTTGCCATGTTGGCGAGGCTGGTCTTGAACTCCTGACGTCAGGCGATCTGCCCACCTTGGGTTCCCAACGTGCTGGGATTACAGGCGTGAACCGCTGCACCCGGCCAGCATCAATTGAAATGATCATATGGTTTTTGTCCTTTATTCTGTTGATATAGCATCATTTTTATTGATGTGCCATTTTCATTTTGTGGCTGTATCTCACCTTATTGAACCAAGCAGGCATTTAAGTTGTTTTAAGGTTTTTGCTATTGTAAGTAATGCTGCAGTATGGTATTCTTAGATAAGTGCCTTTGTTTGGAACTGCTGACTCAAAGGGATGTACTTTGTTTAGGTTTTGATACAATTAATATATTCCCTTCTGCAGTAAATTTGTAGCCACTCTGAATGCCTGTCTTTGTGATCTCTCCTCCCTGCAGAGTAATACTGAGTATTCACTTGTTTCTTGATTTTAGCAGAGGCATTTTAGTCTACTGATTACAATCATAAACTCAGGAGTTGGACTCCTTGGTTTATAGCCTAGTTCAATCATTAAGTTGTGTCTGTTTTCTCACCTGAACAATAGGGCTGAGAATACTATCAACCTTATAGGGTTGTTCCGAGGCATTATCATTTCTTTCCTTTACAAATTGTGTCTTAGAGCTCAAGTAGTTGATTAGGGAAAGTTTCTCTTCATAGAATAGATGATGAAGTGATATAATTAAAATACTTAAAATTTCCAATCCCCAATGAATTGATAGAATGAGGCAGTAATCATCAATGCTGCTACCATCACAGAAACAACCAAATACTATGTACCTCCTGATGGAGAAATCTTGTCATAAAATCATATTTGAGCTTGATCAAGACTCTAGTTCTAAGTGCTGGTTTATAGGAAATTCAAGAGACTGAAGATCACATGGACCTGGTTGCTTTAGTAAATAAGTGTGTGTGTGTAAATTTCTTTTTCCATGTCTGTGATTTCCTGGCTTATAATTCTGAAAGCCCTTATTAAAGTCTCTTGTTATAACTTTGGGGCACTTGGAAACTCAGAAGCAGGCCTCCAAAAATAAAATCTCCCTCTCTGACCATCTCCTCCTCCCCTTTCTCCTGCTCCTTTCTCTCCCCAAGGCAGGAATCTTCTCCTGCCTTTCTATCTTGGAGCTGGCCATAAAAAATTATCTGGCTTTCCTTGTTTGATTGCTATAAGACCCTCATTTCAAAACCCTATATCCTGGAGGAAAGACTGCTGCACAGGGAGGCTAAGAAGAATCTGAACAGACAGGCCTTGCTGGGTTTCCCCACTTAGTCTATTAGTATTAGATAGTATCCTTTTTGTTTAGTCACATTTCTGCATGGTTGTCCATGCAATGTGTGCATCTAATGAAGTCTCTATAAAAGGCTTTAGAGGACAGGGTTCAGGGAACTCCTGAGTAGCTGAACATGTGGAGGCTTACAGGAAGGTGAACACATGCTGGGGGGGTGGTGCACCCCAGCTCCACTGGGACAGAAGCTCTTGCACTGGAGACTCCGAAGCTCTTGCAATGGGGACTCTTCCAGACCTCTCCCTATATATCTCTTCATCTGGCTGTATATTTGTATCCAATATGCAAATATTGTATATTTGTATCCAATATACAATATTGTATTGGGTGGGGGGTGATGGGGACTCCAGCTTGAAACTGGTAGATCAGAAATTCTTGAGCCTCAGATCTACAACTGATGGAAAAGAGGGGGTGGTCATGTGGGACTGAGCTCTCAACCTGTGGTTTCTGAAGCTATCTCTAGGCAAATAGTGGCTGAAGTGAATTGAATTGGATGGTACCCAGCTACTGTCCGCTGCAGAATTGATTGCTTGTTGAGTGTGTGGGGAGACATCCAAAACATTTGGTCACAGAAGTCTTCTGTGATTGTTGTTACAGTGTGAGAACAGAGGGAAAAAAAACGAGTTTGAGTTTTACCACTTTCACACACTACTCTCTCTGATTTCAAAAAACATGGAAGAGTGGGGAGTGATAGAGATAGATATGAAAGGTAAAACATATAGATTAAAAGACTTTAGGTGCTGGTTCACTTGTGCCTGTAATTCCAGCGCTCTAAAGGCTGAGGTGGGAGGATGGCTTGAGGCCAGGAGTTCAAGACAAGCCTGAGCAATAGAGTGAGACCCTATCTCCTAAATAAAATATTTAAGGCCGAGTGCGGTGGCTCACATCCATAATCCCAGCACTTTGGGAGGCTGAGGCAGGTGGGTCAATTGAGGTCAGGAGTTTGAGACCACCCTGGCCAGCATGGTGAAACCCCATCTCTACTAAAAATAGAAAAATTAGCCTGGCATGATGGTGCATGCCTGTAATCCCAGCTGCTCGGGAGGTTGAGGCAGGATAATCGCTTGAACCCAGGAGGTGGAGGTTGCAGTGAGCCAAGATCACGCCACTGCATTCCGACCTGGGTAACAGAGCAAGACTCCATCTAAAAAAAAAAACTTAAGGCATATTAATGATTTCTGGATCTAATTTGGATCCTGATCCAATCAAACTGCAATAAAGAGAAAGAATTGAAGTTATTGGGTAAATTTGAATATTGGATATTTAAAATAAAGGAATTGTTAATTTTTTAGGTGTGATATTGGCATGGTGATGTATATTCCTCCTGTATAAAAAGCACTAACCATAAAAGAAACTGTTGGTAAATTGAGCAACATTAAAATTAAGAACTTATGTTTATTGAACCACAGTATTAAGAGTGAAAAGGAAGGCCACAGGCAATGAGAAGATATTTATAACAAATGTATCTGATGCAGGGCTAATTTCTAGAATCTATAAATAATTACTTCAAAATAAATGTATATAAAAAGACAACTCAGTAGAAAAATGGGCACTTTGTTTTTTTATTTTTTTTGAGACAGGTTCTCACTCTGTTGCCCGGTTGGAGTGCAGTGGCTCACCAAAGCCTCAAACTGCTGGGATCAAGGGATCCTCCTGCCTTTGCCTCCCTAATAGCTGGAAATACAGGCAAACACCACCATGTCTGGCTAATTTTTGTATTTTTTTGTAGAAACAGAGTCTCACTATGTTGACCAGGCTGGTCTTGAACTCCTGGGCTCAAGCATTCCTCCTGCCTCAGCCTCCCACAGTGCTGGTATTATTGGTGTGAGCTACCATGCCCAGCCAAAAATGGGCACTTCAGATGATCAATAAACATGAAAAGATGCCTAGTATCATTAGCCATCTGAGAGGTGCAAAATTAAAACCCTCGATAAGATACAACTGCACACCCACTAGATTGGCTAAAATTAAAAAGAATGAAAACTTTGACGGTTGGCAAGTATATGGAGCAAGAGGACCTTTCATAGACTGCTTGAGGGAGTATAGATTGGCACAATCATTCTGGAAAACTGCTTGACAATATTTACTAAAGCTAAATATACACAGACTTTGTGACCAAGCAGTTCCACTCTTAGGTGATTGCCCAGTAGAAATCTGTACATGTATTCACTGAAAGTCAAGTTCCAGAACATTCAAAGCAGTGTTCTTTGTAGTAGCCCCAAACTTCAAACAATCCAAATTGTGAATAATGCTGCTAGGAACATGAGTGTACAAATATCTGTTTGAGTCTCTGCTTTCAGTTCTTTTTCTTTTTCTTCTTCTTCTTCTTCTTTTTTTTTTTTTTTTTGAGACAGAGTCTTGCTCTGTCATCCAGGCTGGAGTGCTGTGAATAATGCTGCTAGGAACATGAGTGTACAAATATCTGTTTGAGTCTCTGCTTTCAGTTCTTTTTCTTTTTCTTCTTCTTCTTTTTTTTTTTTTTTGAGACAGAGTCTTGCTCTGTCATCCAGGCTGGAGTGCAGTGGCATGATCTTGGCTTACTACAACCTCTGCCTCCTGGGTTCAAGCGATTTTTGTGCCTTAGCCTCCCGAGTAGCTGGGACTTCAGGACTGTGCCACCATGCTCTGCTAATTTTTGTATTTTTTGTAGAGACAGGGTTTTCCCATGTTGGCCAGGCTGGTCTTGAACTGCTGGCCTCAAGTGATCCGCCCACCTTGACTTCTCAAACTGCTGGGATCATAGGCATGAGCCACCACGCCCCCGCCTGCTTTCAGTTCTTTTGGGTATATACCCAGAAGAACTGGATTGCTGGATCATATGGTAATTCTGTTTAATTTTTGGGGAACTGCCACACTTGGGTATTCTTGTATTTTAGAAACTTCTTGGTTTTAATTTCTTCTGTAGATATAATCTACATAAACAACTATTGGGATCCTCAGTAATTCAAGAACTACTTTAATGAACTGTATTATCAAGGAGAGGGTTGAAGCAGCCATTGTCAGTGAGTGTAGAAAGTGATAACGTGGGTGAGTTGGGTGACATACTCTTTTGCTCTCAAGTGACCCAGTTTGGGTGATATATTATATGGCCCCCCTAGTAATGGAGTTCATATTAGGCAGATGGTCACACTTGGTAATGAGGTCGCCTTAGTGTTGGTGTTCCTGTGGAGCTCCCTGAACTCGCAAACTTTAATCTTCCTATGATGGCCAACCTTGGTGGACCAAGGTTTAGAATGAAAGAAATTGCTTTGGAGACTACATATCTCTTTTGAGATTTGACATACTTACCAAAATGAGTAATGATTCTGACGTTCTTCCAGTGTTATTTGAAATTCAACATGAAACTTTTCCTACATGTTTCTTTGTTAAAAATGTTGAGTAAATTTTGAGACAAAATGTACATTTTTTTCATATAAACATTGAAACCATCATGTTGAGGATTACATGCATTCTGTGAAGTTTGTGTATTAACAATCCGTGTATGTCTTCCCAGGAAAATGTTAACTGCAGAGGGTTTCCAACTGTGTTGGCTTGATCCGGTCCTTTCCCCTCTGGCTTGCAGAACATAACACTTCCTCCCTAAGTGAGGCAGCATGAAGCCCCATCCAGTTACTACTATTGTGAGTGGCTCAGAGTTCAGCATCACAGTTTAATGCCCAGTAGTCTCCTTCTTAGGTCTAGTGACTGTGCACCAAAGGGTTATCTGTCCTCCCTTTCCCCTCCAACTGCATTTGTGGAAGAGGAACAGGATGGAGTAGGGCAGAATAACCAAAATAAGCTTTCCTATTCTGACAAGGAAAGAATGGGGAGACAAGACACAGTAGTGTCTTGGCTCACCTCTCTCCTGAGTGGAAATTGGACTAAGATCTCTGGGCGCGTAGATGGAGTCTTTTGCCCGGTAGACCTCATTTTAGGGCGAATGGGTAGAAAGGAAAGACCCCCCCCCCCGCCCCCGCCACCAAATCCAAGAATTGGGAGAGTTCCATTCTAGCGCTCAATATTCATGCTGGAAGCTTAAATTAACCCAGATGGTCTGTTTGGTTTATTTAAAGATAAAACTAGTTTTGAGCCTGGAGGAATAGCCACGTTCTCTGCAGGTGAGTCTGGGAATAGAGCTTGTAATTTGCATAGTTGTTTCAGTGTACAGACCTTCAATTTCTGTTACAATCCCTAGTTCTTGCTCTCATCCACTATCCCGTTTGCCAGATATTGGTCTGGAGCTTCTCCAGGGTTTCAGAGGGCAGACGCTCCTTCTTCCTCCAGAGCCTTCCTGAAGTACACTCTTGGCTGCATTTTCTGTTTTGTTTCATCCATCTTAGCTCTTCAGACTATTTTGTCATCCAGAAATTTGCTGAAATCTCACATCCACTGGTGATGCCTGTCCCCTGCTGTTTCTAAGGCCATAGTGTCCTTCCTTGCTGTACTTACTGACATTCATTTCATTGGGATATTGGGGCCCAAAGCATGGGCTTTATCTCCTATCTTCTGCAGGAAGTTCCAAGTTGTGTGTTTTGCTTTTTGTGTTTTTTTTTTTTTTTTTTTGAGACAAAGTCTCGCTCTGTTGCCCAGGCTAGAGTTCAGTGGTGTAATTATGGCTTACTACAGCCTTGACCTCCCACACTCAGTCAACCCTCCCATCTCAGCCTATGGAGGATCTGGAGCCATAGGCATGCGCCACCATGCCCAGCTATTTTTTAAATTTTTGTAGAGATGGGGTCTCACTATGTTGCCTAGGCTGGTCTCAAACTCCTGGGCTCAAGTGATCCTCCCACCTTGGCCTCTCAAAATGTTGGGATTACAGACATGAACCACTGCGCCCATCCAATTTTGAGAAACTGAGCTGGCATTACAACATAGAAGCAGGCAGTTGCAACACTTTTGTTGACATTTTTTAGTTTTGTTTTGTGTATGTGATGAAGGATAAAAATGGTTCCTCTTGATTGATGACACTTGTGAATTCTGGGCTTCTGCTCTTGGCATTAAGATAGGCAGGTGCTGACAATGACCCTGGGAATTGCTTGTGTTTAGTTTGAGGTGGGTGATGAAGCAGAGGAGTCAGGGAAGGAAACCGATGAAAGAGTCAGGAGAGTTTGGGGTGCTACCAAAGCCTGAATGTTTTTGAGAGGGAGGAAGAGGTCAGTGTCAAGTGCAATGGGAGGGTGTTGAGTAGCGTAAGGAGACGTGGTTTATCCCACCCTTGTGTGCTTCCCACGGTGGCCCAGATGACAGATGAAGATGCTGTCATCTTAGGTAATAGGACCTAAGTTTTTTTGAGCAGTAAACCTTTATAAAATACATTTGCTATTTTCTGGATGTTGCTGTTATTTATGATTTTTTTAGCGTCTATTCTTTTATGAAATAACTACCACTTTGCGTTTATAACCTGTTTCTTTAAACCATTACAACAAAATTTCAGGCTTTTATACCAAAAAATAGTCCATGTCTGTTTAACTGCAAATGACCAAAAACTAAATATAATAAACAAGCTAGAAGTTTATTTTTCCTCACTTAAAAGAAGTCTGGAGGTCAGAATTCTAGCAGCTTCACAGTGTGTAGGATTCAGGTTTTGACTCTCTTGCCCTTCTACCTTCCTGAGTGTGTGGCTTCTATCTCTAGTATAGGATGGCTGCTAGAATTCCAGCCATCACTTCATACTTCAGTAAGGAGGAAGGAGAGAGAGGTCTGCTCCTTTCCTGTAAGGATACTTTCTGAAAAACGCATGATTTCTGCTCACATGTCATTGGCCAGAACTAATTTGCATGTTCTTACCTAACTGCAAGGGAAGCTGGGAAATGTCCCTCCTGAGGGGTCATGTGCTTGGCTAAGCATTGAGGTTTCTATTACAGTGGAAGAAAAGGAGAATGGATGTTGGGAGACAACTAGCAGTCTCTGAGAACTCTTAAAGGCCTGAAGATGCCTGTTAAAAATGGACAGATCTAAGATGCAATACAGAGGAGATGCTGGGAGATTATAAGGATGGAGAGTAGATGAGACCAGTTGTGGTTGCTGGGAGTCTTCATTAGTAGTGGTAAGAGCTGATTCAATGACAGCCAGGCAGAAAGGGAAGGGGAACTGTTTTGTAGGTTTGGGGATAGGAAAGAGGGGGGTCAAGTATAGTCATAAGCAGCTGCCTGCACATCAGTAGTGGAGCCCAGGAGAGCACAGGCCTTGCAGGTCCTTTGGTGTGTGGTACATAAACGTGTGGTAAATAGAGGGATTAATCTGCAGAAAACTCCCTGCATCTCAGTAGCTCTCAAGTATGTCCAGGCCCACTTCTTTCTTTTTATTTTTGTAGGGGCTCCCTATGTTGCCCAGGCTGGTCTCGAACTCCTGGCCTCAGGTGATCTACCCTCCATAACCTACCAAAGTGCTGGAATTACAGGTGTGAGCCACCCTGTCTGGCCACATTTTTTTTTTTCTTTTTTCTTTCTTTTTTTGTTTCTTTGGTGACAGAGTCTTGCCATGTTGCCCAGGTTGGTCTTGAACTCCTTGCCTCAGCCTCCTGAGTGGCTGGGACTATAGTGGCACACCATTGCACCCGGCAGGGCACACTTTTCTAAAAGTAGAGGAAAAACCAGTCTTTCAGCTCTGTGTCCCTCATTGTCTGATTTGTGTCTTTTGATCTCTAAGAGCAGTGATTGTTTTTTTTTGTTGTTGTTGCTGTTGTTTTTTCTTTTGAGACAAAGTCTCACTCTGTCGGCCAGGCTGGAGTGCAGTGGCATGATCTTGGCTCACTGCAACCTCTAAGAGCAGTAATTGTTATCTAACATGATCTTGAGCTCTTACAAAATTGTGTGGAAATGACCTGTTGAAGAGAGCTAGTAATGGGGCTGCTTTAACAAGATGACTTTGGATTCAAGTTATTGCAGCTGCACCCCCTTCCTGCCATTGCAACAGAAATATCTCCTCCTTAGATGCTGCAAAATGACTTGCTGGAGGTGGCACAGGTACCAGTGTGGCTGAGATTGAAACCCAGGTGTCCTACTGTCTAAAGGGCCTTTTGAGGATGCCATGGTTAGGCTCTTATCAGCTTTATGGGGGCACTTCTCTCTGGGGAAATGAATGGGTCACTAATGCAGTTTAGTAGACAGTCTTCAAAATAAGAGGTCTTTGGTGCAACAATATGAAAGGATAAGGTTAGGAAATAGGTCTAGGCCATCTGTTTTGTTACATGTGGAAACTGAGGCTCATGGAGACTGGTAGGCTGGCCAGATGTCTGATTGCTTCTGGCCAGTTTTTTTCCATGGGCTTAACTCTGACGGCTTAAAAAATGAGTCTTTAGTCCCTTCAACTGTAGGTTTATGGTGTCCCATAAATCTGCTTCCAGTGTGAGGGTGGCATGTAGATGCCCTGCAATCCCTCCTCATTGCTGATCTTTTGGCACTTTGAGTAGAATCTCCCCCTACAATGCGGTTTGCACCGTGGTTGGGTCAATATCTGTCCCCTCTTGTGATTTTGGGAGCGTAAAAGCCGCCTGAGCTTTGTTTTCTCACAGGGATGTCAGCCAAACACCCAGTTTTCTCTTGAACAGTTGCTATTTCTATCTCCTGTCTGTTCCACAGAATTCTCGGTACAGAGATTTTTTTTCAGTATGTACGCAGTGGTCTCTCTGTTGAAAACATACCACTAAGGAGTAACTGTTTTGAAAACTTACCAAGGACTGTTTCTTCAGAGGTACTAGTCTCTTCTAGGGACTTTTTTTTTCTTTTTCTTTTCTTTTTTTTCCTGGAGACAGGGTCTTGCTGTGGTCACCCAAGCTGGAGTGCAGTGGCACGATCATGGCTCACTATAGCCCTGACCTCCTGGGCTCAAGCGATCCTATGAAATGGTGCCAATTTCCATTTCCATGAGTACTATTTGAGTATAGTATACTAGTTTTCTCCAAACCTGGCCCATCAACCTGATGTGAGAAAAATTGTTTCTCGTGGCCGTTTTATTTTTTATATCATGGATTATTAGTGAGGTTGAATATTTAAATATACATGCTATTTGTATTTGGTAAATGGCTTTTCTTTTTTGCTAATTTTCCTATTGGCATGTTCACATTTTTCTTATTGACTTGTAAGGTTTTTAAATAGTTGAAGAAGTTGGACCCTTTGTTACATGCTGCAGATTTTTCTCAATTTGTCATTTTTAGTGTTGTTCCATTTGAAGTATTATTTTGGCTAAACCTATGAGTCTTCCTTTGTTTCTGCTTGTGATGACATGCTTAGAAGGGCCTTAGTCCTCCTCTCCTTGCTTCCCCCACCATATAGGTACTTAATTTATATGTTTAGTTTATTTTTAGAAATGGGGTCTCACTATGTTGCTCAGGCTGGTCTGAAACTCCTGGGTTCAAGTGATCCTCCTACCTCGACCTCGCAAAGTGCTGGGATTACAGGTGTGAGCCACCATGCACAGCCTTCTCCTAGTGTTTTTTGTTTTTTGTTTTTTTGAGACAGAACGTCGCTCTTTTGCCGAGGCTGGAGTGAAGTGGCGTGATCTTGACTCACTGCAACCTCCGCCCCCCGGGTTCAAGTGATTCTCCTGCCTTAGCCTCCTGAGTAGCTGGGATTACAGGTGCCTGCCACCACGCCTGGCTAATTTTTATATTTGTAGTAGAGATGGGGTTTCTCATGTTGGTCAGGCTGTTCTCGAACTCCTGACCTTAGTTGATCCACCCACTTCGGCCTCCCAAAGTGCTAGGATTACAGGTGTGAGCCACTGCTCCTGGCCCTCCTAGTATTTTTATAGTTTGCTTTTGACATTGAAATCTTTCATCCATCTGGAATATCTTTTAATGGGGTGTGAAGTAGAGATCTAAAATGTGGTATTTTCTTAAAGGATCTTAAAAAACGATCCATTTTTCAAAGTGCTGCCACTGTGATAACTGAGGAGGGCTTGGGGCAGGGTGTGGCTTTGTGTTGGCTGGCTGCTCAGCAGGGCTGACCATGCAATGACCAGTTGTCTGCCTGTGTCCATTTCTAGAAACAGGCTCACTGGATTATCAGAAGCATTGGCCCTTGTTTTACCGGGATGAGCAAACAGACCTGCAATTCAGTAACTTGACATGTTGGAGTTTGAACCCAGGTGTGCTGAATCTCAGTTCCATGTTCTTTGCGTTACGATTCTGCCTTCCTAGCTTCCTGGTCTCCGCCAGTCATTTTTCTCCCACGGGTTGGCCAAAGAGCCCCTAACACAGGGAAGACTTGCAAGTTTCTCAGGGTCAGCCAGCAGGGCCATGAGGAGTGGGGCAGCCCTTGCCTTACTTTGTACCCAGTCTCGGAGAGAAGGGGAGGTGACAGGGGCCACTGGGTTCCATGGGGCCTGCAGGCCGAAAGCAAGGGCACCCTGGAGCAGTGCAGGCCTGTGTGGCACAGTGCCCTCATCCCGAGGCCCAACTCAGCCCCAGCCCCAGCCTCTGCTGTGGAGCATTCCTGACGCTCCCACCCCATTTCCTCATCTCTGTCTCCTCTCTAGGCTTCTTTGGAAATTGACTGTCCAAACCCTCATTAGGTGCTGTCTCCTCAGCAGATGGTCTCTGGAGTCAGGTTCTTTGTCTTCGATTTCTGTAGCTCCCACGTGATTCAGTAAAGGCATGCTGATTCATCATAGGGTTCCTGGCAGAAGGGCAAAACTATCAGGGGAACAAAGTAGCCAGAGATCACATGCGGAGCCACCTTCTGACTTGGTCAAGAACTCCTTGCTGGTCAGACCTGGCTGTTCCTAGCACGTATGGTTGTCAGGAGGTTGAGTTGGTACTAAATCAGCTGTGAAGATTAGCAACTGCCTGGGCAGTGAGAACCAGGCCTCTGGTTTCGGGAGGAATTTGTTGTGCAGCAAAATAAAATATTGCCATGTTAGTGTTTATTTTTAGTGTTGAAATGCCACCTTAAGTTGACAGTGTTAATGCTACATTGACATATGATATACTTAGTATCAGTCCCAATATTTCATTAAAAAGTACTTAGAATTTATAAAACTGAAAAAGTAAAACTGATGCAAGTGTACCAAGTTTGGACACATTAGAGAATATCAAGTAAAAATCAAATTTGATACAAATTAAACGCACAACATAAATTACCATTCCTGTGTAAGTTAGTAGATAAAAATTAATGTTTACTAAGATGTACTAAATTACATTTACTTCATTTACTACATTTAATTCAAAGTTAAAACTAAGATTTAAAATGCAGTGATCAGTGGGCAAGGTGGTATGTACCTGTAGTCTCAGCTACTTGGGAGGCTGAAGTGGGAGGATTGCTTAAGCCCAAGAGTTCGAGTCCAGCTTGGTAAGATAGCAGGATCCCATCTCTTAAAAAAAAAATAAATAAAATTTTTGTAGAGGTGGGGTCTTGCTGTGTTGCTCAGGTTGGTCTCGAACTCCTGCCTCAAGCAGTCCTTCTGTCTGCACCTCCCAAAGTGCTGGGATTTTAGGCATGAGCCACCATGCCTGGCCTAGACTCCATGTCTTTTTTTTTTTTTTTTTTTTTTTTTTTTTTTGAGACGGAGTTTCGCTCTTGTTGCTCAGGCTGGAGTGCAATGGTGTGATCTTGGCTCGCCACAACCTCTGCCTCCCAGGTTCAAGCAATTCTCCTGCCTCAGCCTTCTGAGTAGCTGGGATTACAGGTATGTGCCACCATGCCCCGCTAATTTTGTATTTTTAATAGAGACAGGGTTTCTCCATGTTGGTCAGGCCAGTCTTGAACTCCCGACCTCAGAAGATCCGCCTGCCTCAGCCTCCCAAAGTGCTGGGATTATAGGCGTGAGCCACTGCGCCTGGTCTGACTCCATGGCTTTTTAAAAAAAAAAAAAACAAAAAAACAAAAACAGGCAATGATCTTTTAAAATACGCATCGTTGGTGACATTGATACAAGTATATTTTTGTTCAAGTTTTTTTTTCTTTTTTTCCTGGTGCTGATAAACTAACTAGGAGTAGGGGAGTGATGAGAGCACTGAACTGCAACTCATTCCTCTTAAGCTTTCATCTCTAAAGAATCCCACCCTTTTGTTTGATAACTTTAAGGATTTCTTTTTTTGGCCAAGATTGCAGCCTTTTAATTGCTAGTGTCCTATGGTTTTTGTTTCAAAGACAGCATTTCCTGTTTATCTTGGTGTACTTTCGTTTCATCTTTAGTTTGGATACTCTTTGAACTGGCATAAGAATTAGTCTCCAGGCAGGCCAGGTACGGTGGCTCACGCCTGTAATTCCAGCACTTTGTGGGGCCAAGGCGAGTGGATCACTTGAGATCAGGAGTTCGAGACCAGCCTGGCCAACATGGTGAAACCCTGTCTCTACTAAAAATACAAAAAATTAGCCAGGCATGGTGGCACACACCTGTAATCCCAGCTACTCGGGAGGCTGAGGCAGGAGAATTGCATGAACTCGGGAGGCGGAGGTTGCAGTGAGCCAAGATTGCGCCATTGCACTCCAGCCCGGGTGACAAAGTGAGACTCTGTCTCTCACACACACGCACACACACATGAATTAGTCTCTAGGCAGAAACTTTGCTTTATTGATTGGTTTTCTTCCTCCTCTTGAGGATTATGGAGGAAAAGAGGAAGCCTTTTAAATGAGGACAGCTTGGTGTGGGTAAGTCTCAAAATATAAGTGGAGTAACTGGAAAAGCATGCCATTTAGTATGCATTTGTACCACACGGGCATTGTTGCTTTGTGTTTTAGGTTCTCATCTGTAAAAGGTCAGCAATACTATATCTCCTGTCCCTCCTGTTTTGTCCCACAATAATAGCCGGCTTTTGTGTAGTTTAGTTTACAATATTTTGTCTGGATTGTCTTGGGGCCTTTGGGGCTAGTTTTGAACTTTGATCCACAGGAGTAAATACAACTTACAGTGTGTCCCAATACCACCTTGCATGCACAGATCACTTGGAAACAAAAGTTTCAGGAAGCAGTACTTACTGTTTGTGATATATTCGGAAGTTTTCTTTTCTGTTTGAGTCTATCTTATACTTTTTATGTACACTTTTTATTAAAGTATAACATATGTATAGAGTGCGTACATATCATATTTTTACAATGACTTTTCATAAAGTAAGCACATCTCTGCAATCAAGATAAAGCAAAATGGCACCAGTCCCAGGGAAGCGTCTCTCCTGATGTCTCCTAATCACTGCTCCCCTCAGGGGAGCCACTAGCCTGACTTCTGGCTCCATATCTTATTTTATATTTTGCTAGTTGTGACCCACTGAATTGATTTCAAGACCCGGTAGGTCTCAACCTATAGTTTAAACAACACAACCTTGTTTTATTTTCCCAATAACTCTTAGGAATTCCTTTTTATGGATGAAAAAGCTAAGGCCCAGTGGTCAGATTTCTCCCAAGATCGTATAGCTTGTACTGTTTGCTTTTTCCCATGCATTTGAGCTACTCTTCTTCCTGAGATGAGGAATGACTTGCTTTGGAAAGACAGTTGCAGCCCTTTTTGTTTTATGTCTTGTTTATCACTCTCCCTTAATGTGTTTACAAGATTGATATTCATTATTAATGTAGCTTTAGTGAGTTCCTGATCTTACCATTCTTAAGTACTGAGAATGTTTTTGGTTTGTGTTTTTGTGACTGAGTCAGAGACATTTGCTTTTGCTTTGGAGGTTTGTGGCTTGGAAACTTTCATGATATTTGTCTTTGGCCTCCCCCTAATAGGATGAAGCTCTTCAGGTGGCATGCAGGTATGACAAATGATGACTGTGCACAGCTTCCCACCTTCATTCACTGTGCTGACCTGCAGTTCCTTCCTTGCCTGTAGGCTTTTCCTATAGAGAGATTTCTTTCCACCCCGTTCCCACCTCATGTCTCCCTTAGGCTCCAGAATACCTATGTGGAGGGCCTGAGTGCTAAGCTGTCCTGTCATCTGCAAGCTTGTCTGATTGTGAGATTGTTGTTCCCAGCCAGCACCTCTGGGAGTAGAAGTCCCATAGCCCATACCTGGAAACTTTTTCCCCAGTTGCCGAGCCTGGAGGCTCTCTTGGGCTGTGAAGTGTTCACTGGCTGTGGTAGTTCACAGCCGAGGCTTTCATTCTAAGAGCCTTGACCTTCTGGGTTCACCACCCTTGGTAGTTCTCTGCCTCTCTGGGAGAGAGGCAGCTTGGAAACACTGTCAGGGCAAGTGTGTCCCAGGCTGTGTTGTAGGCCATGGGGATATAGCAGTGAATAAACAAAGTCTCTTCCACTCTGAGCATTCGTCCAAATGGAGGAGATAGACAAATGTGCAGTCATTTCAGGTGGTAGTGATGTTAGAAGAATAAAACTGGTTTTTCTTAATAGGATGTAGCCTTTTGAAGTGCCAGTGTCTGAAGGAGCATTCCAGTGTGCTGTCCAGTTGGCACAAAGGACAGATGTCTTTTTGTTTGTTTGTTTGTTTGTTTTATGAGACAAGGTCTTAGTCTGTCACCCAGGTGGGACTGCAGTAGTGTGATCTTGGCTCACTGCAGCTTCCACCTCCCGGGCTCAAGAGATCCTCCCACCTCAACCTCCCGAGTAGCTGGGACTACGGGTGCGTGCCACTACACTCATTTAATTTTTGCATTTTTAGTAGAGATGTGGTTTCACCATGTTGCCCAGGCTGGTCTCAAACTTCTGAGCTCAAGCGATCCGCCTGCCTTGGCCTCCCAAAGTGCTGGGATTACAGGCATGAGCCGTTGCGCTCAGCTGATTTGTTCCGATTCTGCTTAGAGCATTTCCTGTTATTCAAGGGAAACAAATGGAAACATCTATAGACCTATATGTTCCATAGGGCAAGATTGAACCGCTTAGGACTCTAAAAGTTTTTACTCTGCCTACTTAGTCATTATCCCTGGCAGCACCTTTGCTGCTGTGGGAAATGCAACTCATTTATTACCACCCTCCATTTTATGGTGGTTCCTTGGAGGCACTCCCCCACCCCAAGTCATTTTAACCTTTGGGAAGGGCTGAAATGCTGTGCTTTTAGTCATTAGTTGCATTTATGTAACTGTAGCTCTAAGGTTGTCTTTCCCGCACAAATGCCGGCAAAGCCAGTATTGCAGGCCTTGTAGATAAAGGTTGACGGATTTCATTCTTTTTAAAAAATTACTCCTTGAGCTTTTAACAGGTTCAAGGCAAGGAGCTCTCAAGGTAAACAAAGATGAATAAGGCAGTCCCTACTTTTTATAATCTCAAAGTCTAAAATTATGGAAGGTGCCCTCTTACTGTAAATATAACTCATAAAAAATCATATGGGGGCTTTAGGGAGGATGTAGCTGTCTCCCTTCTGGCTTCTGTTGGCATTCCTTGGCTGTAGCCATGTCGATCTCTGCTCTGTCTTCACATTGCTCTCTCCTCTGTGTCTAATCTCCTGCCTCTCTCGTAGGGATATACATGATTATATTTAGGGCCCACATGGATACTCCAGGATAAATCCCTTCTCTCTTAGCTTAGTCATATCTTTTGCCATGTAAGGTAATACTCTTCTTGCCATGTAAGATAATATTCACAGTTTCCAGGGATTAGGAAGTGAATTAATTTTGTTGGGGGGAGTTTTCTGCCTACCCATAGACAGCAATCACAGGAGGTTTTTCTTAGTGGCTTCTAGGGATGTGAACAGGGAGGAGAAAAGACTGAGAGTAAAGGGGGAGATGAGGGAAGGGTGAGATGTAATCAGGAACAGAGAGCAGCAGTTTTGCTTGGCTGGAGCAGGTGGTGTGAGGGATGGACTAGGATGGATTGTGGAGGACCTCGAATGGGAACAGTTTGTCTAATTCATTAGGCAAAAATGAATGGGGGAGGGATGTAATCAGAGCTGTGCTTTTTGAAGATTAATATGGTAGTGTATGGAGAATAAATGAGAGAAGGGAGGAATTTGTGGAGATGCCAATTAGGAGGCCAGCTTAGTAGTGAAGGGTTGATCTGCAGGCTTCAGCAAGGGTGCTAGCTGTGAGAATGGGAAAGACCCTAAATGAAAGGGTCTGCATAGTGTGAGAACTGAGGAGGTGTGTAGGGTAGGGGATTTGGCAACAGTGATGCGGACAGTGTTTTCCATGGGGCACATTTCAGGGAGATTAGGGTCTTGAAGGAAAGCAGAAGGATGAACTAGTGTGGGTGGGAAAGATGGTGGTTGTTTTTGAACCCACTGAGTTGGAGGTATCTTGTTGGCAGGTTGAAAGTTTGCACTGGAGCTTGGAGGAGAGGACATAACTCGTGTTATGGGAGCTGGTCCACAGAAGAGAGGCTGAATGGCAGGGTCAGCTCACTAAGGGGCAGTGTGGAGATACAGCCTGGGGGAGTTACTGGCATTTAGGAAGTGTGAGGAGGAAGAACTGAGAAGATGTCATTGGAGAGGATTCAGATGCGATTAATTGTAAATGCAGGCAGCCAGTCACATTGACTAAAAAGAAAAAAAGGAATCCATTGGCTCATGTAACTTAGAAGACTAAGGTAATTCTAGCTTCAGGCCTGGTTTAATCCAGGGGCTCAAATGTCACCAAGCTTTGGTCTCCCTCCATCTCTTGGCTCCCCCTCATGTTGGCTTCATTTTTGGGTTTTAAATGGTAGTAGCTAGATGTAGCAAGATGTTGGCCAGCAGGTGAAAGTCCCATGGGAAAGGTCATGCCTTCCTCCTGGTGGCTCCAGAAGCACAGGAAATTGCTGTTACGTGTTCTTGTCATCTCTGACCTGGTCACTGTGGTCAAGGGAGCACAGTGCTCTGATGAATCAGGTCTAAATTATGTGCCTACACTTGGAGTAGGGGGTGGGAAGAGTACTCCAAAGCAAAATAAAGGGACCATTACTGCACAGAGTGGAACAAAGCTAGGTAGTAAGACACTAAATGTTCAGGGCACCAGGGATCTGGGTGGGAGGGGGAATGGTGGTACGCAAAGCAAGGATTGGTTGGATGCTACTGAGATGGCTGTGAGGATGCTGGAGAACAGTGTGTGGGGCTTGACAGTCAGCAGTTAATCTTTCAGGAAACGGTTTTCTGACACAGTGTAGGCTGAAGCCAGACTCGGGAAGTTTGGGGACATATGGTAGGTGCAGACTTTGTAAAATAGTTTGGAAGTAAAGAGGGGGAGAAGTGGATTGGTGGCTCCAGGCCAAATGGAGTTGAAAGAAAAATGGTTTTAGGACAAACATCTGAAGAGTGGAAAAAAATCTGAGAGAAAGGATCATGATGGTAGAGGCAGAGAAAGGAGGAGTTGATTGGCATAGGAGAGCACTGGAAGATGCGGGACCTGGGGCCTGGGCAGGGAAAGAGAGGCCATGTCTCAGTCTGTTTGGGCTACTATAATGAAACACCATGAGCTCAGTGGCTTATAAACAACAGAAGTTTATTTCTCATTGTTTTGGGGTCTGGGAAGTCCAAGATTATGGCGCCAGCAGATTGAGTGTCTGGTAAGGAGCTGCTTTCTGGTTCATCCAGGGCTTCTCACTGAGTCCTTATGTGGTGGAAGAAGGATTTCTCTGGGACCTCTTTTATAAGGGTGCTAATCCCATTAATGAGGGGTTCAGCCTCATGACCTAATCACCTTCCAGTAGCTCCATCTTCTAATACCATTGAGATGGGGGTTAGGATTTCAGCGTATGAATTTTGGGGAGACATAAATATGCAGACCACCGTAGGCCAAGACTTCAGATTGGGGTAGGTGGCAGGCACTTATTTCACTTCTTTCTGAAGGAGCTTGTTACTGACAGATTATCATTTTAGGTCCTTTAGTTCAAGCTTGTCTGACCCACGACCCAACACAAATTCGTAAACTTTCTTAAAACATTATGAGTTTTTTGTTTTTTGTTTGTTTGCTTGTTTTAGCTTATCAGCTATCGTTAGTGTTAGTGTATTTTATATGTGGCCCAAGACAGTTATTCTTCTTCCAGTGTGGGCCAGGGAAGCCAAAAGATTGGCTCCTGCTTTAGGTCTTTTTTTTTTTTTTTTTTTTTAAGACAGAGTTTTGCTCTTGGTTGCCCAGGCTGGAGTGCAATGGCACAGTCTCGGCTCACTGCAACTTCTGCCTCTCGAGATCAAGTGATTCTCTTGCCTCAGCCTCTTGAGTAGCTGGGATTACAGGCACCTGCCACCACGCCCAGCTAATTTTTTTGTATTTTTAGTACAGACGGGGTTTCACCATGTTGTCCAGGTTGATTTTGAGCACGTGACCTCAAGTGATCTACCTGCCTTGGCCTCCCAAAGTGCTGGGATTACATGTAGGTGTAAGCCACTGGGCCTGGCCTAGGTCATCATTTTTTAAACAACCCTGTAAAATCTCACCAAGATTTTTCACTTGTTTCCAGATTATAATGGATTCTGTTTGACTCTGGTCTCCAGGTTGTCAAATGACATATTTTCAGGATATAAGACTATAAGTAGACTTTTCTATTAACAGTAAAGCTTGTGAATCTTGGTTTGATATGTACAAACAGAGCCACCACTATGTACCCCAGTTTCTGGTTGGAGTGACAGAATGAGAACACAGCCAATTTCTGAGCAGCTAGCGGTTTGGGGACACAGTAGGAATTTAATACTGGGTGATCGTTGTATCTTACAAGGTGCATCCTCAAGTAGTAATAACTCATTTGTCAGAGATATATGGTGGTGTTTTGCAGTGATTTGCAAACTGTGTTCTCTGCTGATACGTTAGGGGTTCTCCAAACAAAATTTAAATCTGACAGTGAAGATGAATTGAGACTCCTTCACGCTGTTATCTCAGCACAGGTGAGGGTGAGGCACTTGATGTTAGGAAAACCTTGCTTTAACCCATGTGTCTTTGCGATGGAACAGAAGGATAAGCGAGCCGCTTTGAAAATCAGATTGAATTTTTTTTTTGTAGTAAAGTTTTATCAAACATTTAAGACCTTTACAAACTTGACTAAATTTTGTTATTCATTTCAAATTAATATCAGAAATCTAATGTGTTACATTTTCTTTTTTTTAATATATATTTTAAATTATACTTTAAGTTCTAGGGTACATGTGCACAACGTGCAGGTTTGTTACATATGTATACATGTGCCATGTTGGTGTGCTGCACCCATTAACTCGTCATTTACATTAGGTATTTCTCCTAATGCTTTCCCTCCCCCTCCCCCCACCCCACAACAGGCCCCAGTGTGTGACATAAATTTTATGTCAGATAATGTAGAACAGAGAAGCATCAAAAAATGACTCAATGGTCTTGATAAATTCATTTGAAGATGAAATTATGTTAAAATTTTATAGTTCAGTAATTTAAAAGTATATTATAGTTTTTTTCTTTTTGTTTTGGATGATTTGCATGTAAACAAGTGTAAGGAATCTTTGTAAAGCATCAGAAGAAAATTTTAGGTGTTTTGATGTTCATTAACAGACTATTAGCAAGATGTCAAAGGAATAATAATGCCTGTGCAGATGGTAACTGCTTTGTTCTGTTCCTCTTTTCCCCCAAAACAGATTTGTAAAAATTGTATTTGTTACATTATTCACAAACCTTTTCTACAAAATATATACCAAACTGGGTTCTTTTGAAAGATTTTTCTAGTAATTTTTAGGTCATTTCCATATATATTATGTGCAGTTTAAAAAGCAAACCAACCCTAGTTTGTTAAATAATTACCCTGTTTTTACTTAAAAAAAATGGGGTTGTGCACCTGTGTAAAGTTTGTACATCTTAGCAGTATAAATTACTGACACATTTTTAAAAATGAAGTAAAAACTCAGAATCCTTGTGATTCAGTGCCCTTATGTTTTTAAAAAAGAGGAAAAAATAATGCAAGATTCAGAATATTGGAGTGGTTGATATGCCTTCTTCATTTTAGTTTTTGACTGGCTGCTCATATGCCGATGATGATGAAGCTGAGCTGTTTGTGCCACTGCCATTTGATGCTGCGAGAATCACAACTGTTTCATCTGTTGCTGCTGCTATTAAAAGGCAGAGTAGTAACTGGCCACTGAATTAAATTTAAAAGAAAGGCAGGGGAGAGCCGGCATCTCTGCTGAGGATGGCTTTGCTTAGGTCTTTTCTTAGCCCTGCAACTACTTAACACTTCATATGCTTGCTGAAGGGGTAGGTCTGCCCTTGACTGGTTGAACCTTGTTCAGAATCCTGTTCACCTGGCTGTTGAGGACTAGAAGTTGTAGGTTGCTGAGGTGGTGTTGGGGGTTCTAGCCCCCTCCTCACAGTAGTAGGGGAACCAGAGTTTTGGGGAGCCTTAGCAGTTTTCTTCCTGGTTGCAGGTTGGGGTGGATACAGCTGTTAGACTGTCTGCATTGTCCAGTATAGTAGCCACTAGCCACATGTGGCCAATTAAACCTTTTCTTACTGTGGCTAAATATTATATATATCATAAAATTGATAATTTTAACCATTTTCAAGTGTATGGTTCTATGGCATTGAGTACGTTAACATTGTTTTGCAACTGTCACCAGAACAAACATTCCAGAATATTTTCATCTTCCCCAAATGAAACTCTGTACCCATTAAACAACTCTCCCCTCTCACTCCCCCAGCCCCTGACAACCACCATTCTATTTTCTGTCTCTACGAATTTGACTACTCTAGGTACCTCATGTAAGTGGAATCATATATTTGTCCTTTTGTGTGTGGCTTATTTCACTTAGCACAATGTCCTCAAGGTTCATCCATGTGGTAGCATGTGTGAGAATTTCCTTCCTTTTTAAGGCTGAATAATATGCCACTGTATATGTATACTACATTTTGTTCATTCCTTTGTTGATAGATACTTGGATTGCTTCTACTTTTTTGTTTATTGTGAATAAGGCTGCTATGAACATGGGTGTACAAATATCTCTTTGAGTCCCTGCCCTCAGTTCTTTTGGGTATATACCCAGAAGTGGAATTGCTGAGTCATGTGGTAATTCTATATTTGATTTTTTGAGGAACTGCCAGGCTGTTTACTATAGCAGCTGCATTATTTTACATTCTGACCAACAGTGCACAAGGGTTTCAGTTTTTTCACATCTTCTCCAGTACTTGTTATTTTGGTTTTTCTTTTTTCTTTTTTGAAAATAGCCACTCTAGTGGATGTGAAGTGTGTGGCAGTTTAAATTTAATTAAAAATAAATACATAAATTCACTTCCTTAGTCTCGCTAGCCACATTTTAATTGTTCAATAAGCCACACACAGCTGTGGCTCTCATATTGGACAGTATAGAGAGAACATTTCCATTATTGCAGAAAGTTCTATACTGACAAAACCTGGAGGTAGCAGTGGACCTGAAAGGGATTGATCCAAGCCCAGCAGAGTCCCAAGGATTCAATCAATTGATAACTGACACATACATTGAGAGGCAATCCATTGATAACTGACACATACTTTGTGTAAGTAGTATAATCCAGTATAGACATAGTTTTATATTCTGCCTTTTTCATGTTGCTGCACGGTGTTTATAGTAGTCTTGTTAATAGCTGCACAGAAAGTTGATTTACCGTAATTTACCTAATAATTTTTCCTTGTTAGGGACATAAAACCAGTTTCTCCTTTTCAGTACTGCAGTAGAGTATGCTCATTTCCCAGTTGTCTCCAGGCCTAGCCCTTCTGGTTTCTTCATCTGTTCATTTTATCGTCTTGCTCTTTTTTGTCTCCTTACTGTTTTAACCACTCTATTGGACGTACTTGGCCTCTAAGTAAAGTTTGACTAACGCTAACTAGAACCAGACCATGCCTGTGTTAATATAGCCTAAAATGCCATTAGCTATTTTTGCTGTTTGAACTGCTTGTACCATCTTGGGTCAAGTGCCTACTCCAAAACAGTCAAGGTGCACATTGCCTTAGGCTGGGGTAAATGCCTGTTCGTGAACCTATCACTGTGGCAGAGGGGCAGAATTAAAAATAAGTAGACTGTACAAGCTGCTGTATACCATGAAATAGTTTATGGATTTTTAGGAGGGAACCAACTGCAGTGTCCAGTACCTGGGGGAAGATAGGGAGATAAGAATTAAGGGTCGAACATCCCAAAATCAAAAATTTGAAATTTTCAAAATCTGAAACTTTTTGAGTGCCAATGTGATGCTCAAAGGAAATGCTCATTGGAGCATTTTGAATTTAGGATTTTCTGATTAGGGATGCTCAGCCAGTAAGTATAATGCAAATATTCCAAATTCTGAAAAGAACTCTGAAATGCAAAACACTTCCGGTCTCAAGCATTTTGGTTAAGGGGTATTCAATCGCTACCTCTCAGGTTTCTGGCTTATGCAGGGTATATAGACTCGCATGCTGTCAACTGATTGACTAGGCAAGACTTCAGGATCAGTAGTTTTACGGACAATGTCAAAAGTGTTCTGTTTAGATGTGTTACTTTTGAGATGCCTGTAAGAACTTTCTCGTGGAGATGTCAGTAAGTGGTTGGAAATATGAATCTGAAGCTTGGGGGAGAAGTTGGGGTTGGAGATACAAATGTTGGGGTCATTGGCATGGAATTGGTAATTAAAGCCAAGGGGCTGGATGATGATACCTAGGGAGAGAGTGTGGTAGGTCCAGAACTGAGCCCAGGGCCCATTCAACATTTTGAAGTCAGGTAGACTTCAAAGTCACAGGAGACTGAGAAAGAGCAGCCAGTCAGGTAGAGTGAGAACCTGATAAGTATGGTATGGAGGTAGCTGAGAGGAGAATGTTTCAAGGAGGAAATGGTCAACTAGATCTGACATTGCCAAGATATATGATAAGATGAAGGCAGGGGAATCTGTCTGATTTGGCAGCATGGAGGTTGTTTTATTTACTTATGTTTGAAGATGCACTTTAGTCTCCAGAGCCTAGGGAGATCATACTGAGGCCACATTGACTTTTCTTTGCTGGGGTAATGGATATTTGAAAGTAATTTGATGGCCAGGTACTGTGGCTCATGCTTATTCTCCCAGCACTTTGGGAGGCCAAAGCGTGAGGATCACTTGAGGCCAGAAGTTCGAGACCAGCCTGGGCAATGTAGAGAGGCTCTTTCCTTTTAATTACTGGTTTTCAAAAAAAGATTTGGTGTTTCAGCACCCTTCAGAGGTGGCCAAAGTAGTTTTTTTTGTTTCGTTTTTATTTTTATTTATTTTTTTGAGACAGAGTTTTGCTCTTGTTGCCCAGGCTGAAGTGCAATGGCTCCATCTCAGCTCACCATAACCTCCACCTCCCGGATTCAATCGATTCTCCTGCCTCAGCCTCCTGAGTATCTGGGAGTACAGGCATGGGCCACCACTCCCTGCTAATTTTGTGTTTTTAGTAGAGACAGGGTTTCTCCCTGTTGGTCAGGCTGGTCTCGAACTCCCAACCTCAGGTGATCCACCCGCCTCGGCCTCCCAAAGTGCTAGGATTATAGGCGTGAGCCACTGCGCCTGGCCAGTAGTTTCTTACAGTTATCATTATGAACTCATAAATTTTCATATACTTGTGTTTAAATCACTTTTTGTTTATTATTTTAATGCTCAAATTGTCCTATCGTTGGCCATTAGGAATGTTTCTTCAAAGACTTTCTCATTTTCAATTTAATTTTTTCCCCAGGTATCCTTAGTGATTTATCAAAAAGAGAAAGAAACTATTTAGCATTGTGGCTTTCATAATTTCTTTCTTTCTTTTTTTTTTTTTTTTTGAAGCAGAGTCTAGCTCTGTCGCCCAGGCTGGAAAGCAGTGGTGCAAACTCGGCTCACTGCAGCCTCTACCTCCCAGGTTCAAGCAGTTCTCTTGCCTCAGCCTCCCAAGTAGCTGGGATTACAGGTGCCCACCACCACGCCTGGATAATTTTTGTGTTTTTAGTAGAGACGGAGTTTCACCATGTCGGCCAGGCTGGTCTTGAACTCCTGACCTCAGGTGATTGCCCACCTTGGCCTCCTGAAGTGCTGGGATTAGAGGCACGAGCCACCGCACCCACCCCATAATTTCTTCTATAACTAATATGACACATTTGGGATTGAGAACACTGTTAATTCCATGTTCTTCAAGGGAGAAACATACTAGTTTCTCCCTTGAATAGTTACAGTCTATTTGATTGGTACTTGATTCCATGATGGTTGGTTATAAACCAGGAATACTACAAAAGTGACAATATAATGTTCCAATATGGTAAACAGCCCCAGGGTGCTTGTCTGCCCACAGGAGTAGGGGAGGTTGGGGCATGAGACACTGGGGACATTTGCTCTCATGTCTACTTATTTTGTCTAGGAATCTTTGTAGAAAACACTATTGTGAGGTGAGTGACAGTGAAGCAGGTACCAGATGGCGATTTATGATTTAGGGGCTCGTCGCATGTGGAGCCCAGCAGCTGTCCTGGTTCTACTTCCTGACAGAGGTCTGGGGAGCACACTTGAGCCCAGTTTTGAGATTGCGAATATATTTTTCTTCTCCATCTTACTAGATCTTTTGGCAGTATTAGACATACTCCCTCCTTGGGAGAGCTTTATCTTAATAAACTGAAAAAAAAAAAAAATTCCTTCCTTCCCCAGTAGCGCTGAAAACTCATTTTCCCTTAAATACTAAATAGAGATGCCCGACTAAGGAACTGATAATAGAAGGACCCGTTGGACTCCAGTGGGGCTTCTGATTTTTGGTGTCTTTCCCCTAACCCTGGAAGACAATAGGAAAACAAGTGATGTCATCGGAACAGAGCCGTTGGCAGAGCCTCCTGGGGACCTGAGTGGTTTTCTTGTCTCTGATAGTCTCTGTTCTGAATTAAGTAATGGCTTGTGATGGAGGTTGGTACTTCCTGCAGCTATTTCATATTTATAGTCATATGCTTGCTGTTAGTAAACAGATGCATCTACTCCAGAAGGAGGCTTCAATGGGCAAGGTGGGAGAGAGTGTTGGGAGAAAGGATTCCTGGTCATTCCTTGTCACAAAAATTATGGGTTTAATGTATGAGACTGGCAGTCATGCAGAGGTTGGGACTCAGTACAACTGTACGTATTTGAGTTAGAAAGCCTTGCATTCCTAGAAGCTGGATTTCAGACAGGATTTCCTCATCCTTTCTGAGACATACAGATTCTGTACTTTTTTTGGAAACCCCCGTATTGCTTAGGATACATTTGGCCACAAATGTCTAAGAAGAAGGGGAGATAAACAGTGGGACAGCTGGCTGCAGCCCTAAAATGCCTCCTCTAGTGCTACTGAGTGCAAAAATGAATTGTCAGCCTACGCGACATGTAGCCCAGCTACACCTGCCACTTCAGCAAACCCTGGATTCTCTCAGCATCATTGGCTCTGGCTGCCTCTGCAGATGTGGTTCTAGGTGCCAGGCCAGGTGCTGGGGGTACAGTGGTGAGGAAGTCAACATGGCTCCCCCACAGAGATGATGGTCTCGAGGCGGAGACTATGCGGTGTGGGAAGCCGTCTTTTTTTGTTTTTTTGTTTTTTTGAGACAGGGTCTTGCTCTGTCATCTAGGCTGGAATGCAGTGGCATGATCAGGTCTCACTGCAGCCTCAATCTCCTAGGCTTAGGCGATCCTCCCACTTTGGCCTCCCAAAGTTTTGGGATTACAGGCATGAACCACGGTGGGGAGCACTCCTAAGGAAGGACAGGGGCCGCTGGGACACACAGGCAGTTGGGGAAGATTTGGAGAGAAAGGGAACTCTTAAAAGATCAAGGAAAATTTGCTGGAAGAGAAGTGGGTTTTAGTAGAGGGTGGTTTGCAGACTGTTTAAGTAGGAACACAGGAGCAAAAGTCCTAAAGGTAAGAAAGTACAACCTGTTCTAGAAACTGACTCTAGTTCAGAATGGCTGTAAGAGATAAGGCTGGATGAGTAGATAAGACCCTGATCTCAAGGGGCTTGTATGCCATTTTGAAGACCTGTCATCTAGGTACTGGGGAGCTGTGGAAGGGGTTCAGGATGGAGAGTGACACAATCAGAATTTCTGGGAAGGTCCTCGTGTTGCAGTGGCGAGAGCGTAGGTGGGAGTGGACTCTAGGCTGAAGGTGAGGTAGCCAGTTAGGCTGTTGCAGTTACTCAGGAGGGATGATGTTGGCTTGAATTAAGGGAATGACAGGTGGCATAAGGAGTGGATGCAACTGAAAGCTGTTTTGGAGGTAGCATGAACAAGCTTGGTGACAGATCTACAAGCTGAGAAAGGAGCCACTAAGGGTGATGGCCACCTTGTTCTCTTGAAAATTCGGGGAAAGGGTACCATTTGCTAAGATAAGTCACATAGTAGAAGGAAGAGGTTTGTGGGAAGAGATGATGAGCTTGGTTTTGGACACATGGTGAGTTTTAGGTGTCTGTGGAGACATCTAGTAGTTATTTGGATTTAGGGTCTGTAGCTCAAGAAGAGACAGCAGGGAGCATGAGAATGAATGGGGAAACTCAGGGAGAGTGGGAGGCAGCAGAAGAATAAGAGAGCTTAGGACCAACCCCAAGGAACCCTCAAATGCGGGGACAGGCTGATGAAGAGGCAGTTCCTAAGGAGAAGGTCAGCTAAAGATGCCTGGCCAGAGAGGCAGGCATCAACCCAGGGGGAGGTGCTGCTTGGAAGCCAGAGGAAGAGTGTTTTTCAATAGTAGCATTAAAAGCTGCTGAGGGATTGAACGAGGTGAGGACTGAGTCCCTGCTGGGTTTCGTGACAAAGTCCTTGTTGACCTGGGAGAGCTGCTTCAGTGGAACAGGTGGGGTTGAAGTTGGGTTGTTGTGGTTTGAGGAATGATGCACAGCCAGGGAGGGGACATGAAATGTCGACAGCTCTTCCCAGAGGTTTACCCATGAAGTGGGGAAGAAAGTGCATTGGTTGGATGAGCTGTCAGAAGTTGTTTGTTGAGCCTGCCTAGATGGTTGTAAGTAGGGCTGTGGTGAGGGAGAGAGATGAGAAGATGGAGAGGGCAATGGAGTGAGTCTCTAAGGAGGTGGGAGGAGAAGGCATGGCAAGCACATGGCTGACTCCGAGTGTGGCTGTCCTGGGGACAGTTGTCCTTTGCCATCAGTGTTGTGTCCTCTACCAAGTCCCCTGTGGTCCTTTGTAAATAGCTTTATCTGGAGACAGAATGGCTCACAGCCAGTTAGGTTTTAAGAAGCTGAATCTGCCACATTCATGTATTTTCTTGTCCTTTCTCTGAGTGCAGTTAACCTGTTAGAGATGCCGGAAGTGAAGCTGTCCATCTGGGTAGCTGAATACATTTTCTTTGAATCCCATTATTGCTGTGAGGCTTTTGAAGGACAGGGTATGGCCATACTGGGGATGACTGTGAACTCATTCAGAGTGGGGTCCTCCTTCTGTTTGGTGTTTTGTTCTGACAATTGAACTTGTCAAATGGAGTTAGTATTAGGGCTAAAAGTATTTCTTTGTTATTCCCAACAATATACACACACAAATGGATGCTGTCACACACTGGCCAGATATATGTATATATATGTATATATGTATATTTTTTTTCAGTAGGAACTCAGATGAAAGCCTACTTGGCTTTTTCATTGAGAGGGCCACCTAAGTCCCTGACACTTATTAAGGATGCTTATTAAGGATAAACCCATCTCTGGTAATTTCTCTCCTAGGATCCTGTGTGAGTGGGGAGTTGCCCTCCCTGGCAGCTGGTCACAGGGCTTGATCTAGAAGATGGAGGCCATGGTATTCAGCAGAAAAGTTAGGCTTAGACTAATGACTTTCCTCCAGGAGAAAGTTGATAATTTGCATATAAAGCAGTGCAAAAAATTGTGTAGGTTATGAAGTTAGTCAGTGAAACTTGTGAATTTGAATGCAGTGTCAGTGGGAAAGGCAGAGTTGTTGGAGGCATAACCCACCAGTGCCTTGAAGTCTGCCTTTTAATGAAATTTCCTTGAAGAAGAAAGAAAAAGAGAAGAAAAGCTGAATGATGGTACTGCTTATTTTCTTTCCCTAGTTTTTAGTTCCTCTTAGGCAAATATGAACAGAATATTAATATGTTTTCTTTAGTGTAGTCCAGAGCTGAGTCATTATCTGGTAAAGAAATAGAGTATGGAGCTGGGTACGGTAGCTCACGCCTGTATTCCCAGCACTTTGGGAGGCCGAGGCAGGTGGATCACCTGAGGTCAGGAGTTCAAGACCAGCCTGGCCAATGTGGCAAAACCCCATCTCTACTAAAAATATAAAAATTATCTGGGCGTGTTGGCGGGCACTTGTAATCCTAGCTACTTGGGAGGCTGAGGCAGGAGAATCGCTTGAACCCGGGAGGTGGAGGCTGCAGTGAGCCAAGATTGTGCCACTGCACTCCAGCCTGGATGACAGAGCAAGACTCTGTCCCCCCAAAAAAAAAAAAAAAAGAAAAGAAAAAAAAAAAAGAAATGGGGTATAGGGTAGGATAGGTTCCACCGGTGTGGAGCCTGACACAGTGCCCAAGGGATTCTCTCTAGCCATGGGCACAGCCACACTTTTTTGGGTCAAACACTGACCATCACTACTTTGGGTGTCAGAGTCTTGAGAAATATCCAGGTAGGAGGGTGGGCCCCTGGCACCAAGTGAAGACCGAAAGGGAGCCTCAGAAGGATGCTGTCCAGGAAGCCTCCCACCAGGCTGGCAGGAAACCCAAACAGCAGGGTTTTCTTCCCAGAGAGTTGATAGTGAAAATGAGTTCCACAAATGCTGTTCTGGACTGAGCTAGGTCCCTCCCCAGGAAAAGCCAGACCTTAACCACAAGGAACATCCCCTCCTGCCCACTGCTCCCTCTGGCCCTCCCTCACTGCCTTCTCTTGCTTCTGTTATGTTCTGATCTTTGGGTCAGTGCTGGGTGTGGGGAAGCTTCTGGGCAGTTGGTGGAGAAGCTTTCTGAGCATGAGTTTCTCCAAAAATGCTAATGGCTCTTAACTGAGCCCCTGGTACACAGGACACTCCATGTGTCCTTCATCCTAAGTGCTTCTGCCTTTCTCTAGAGGGTCTGTGTAAACCAAAAGGGGTGGACCCTCAGAGGAGCTTCCCCCTTCCTTTAAAGCAGCACTCTTGTTTCCTGTTTATACCAGCACTACAACCCCCTTGGGAAATGGCTGAGGAACTGTGGGAGGCGGTGGTTGAGAGAGAACCTGAGAGGGTCTGCCCCACCTGGCCTCTGTTCCCGGCCCTCGGGATTGAAAGGGAAGGAAGGAGGAGGGGTGCCTGGGAGCTGGGTGGATATGAGTCAGAAGAGGCAGGGCAGCCTCTCCCTGCTGTGCTGGTCTCAGTACCCACCAGGAGTGAGGCAGGAGTGGATGCTGGTCTGGTCCTGCTGCCAGGGCTGCTGCAGGGGCACCAGTCAGGCACATGAGCAGGAAAGTGGGTACTATCATATCTCAGTGTAGTCTGGACACTTTGGTCCATCATAGGTCAAGTAGAATTAATTAGCTCATTAGTTCAACAAATCTTGGGGCACCTGCTATGTTCCAGGCACTGCTCAGTGCAGTGGTGAACAGGTAACTCCTGGCCTCTGACACACTGCCGTGTCTGACATGTATATGGTGTTTTTACCATGTTCCCAGTTTACACTCATGAACATATGCATATGTCTTGATAATGCCCATTACAAAGCATACATGGGAAAGAAAAGAAGAATGAGGTAAGTAGAGATGAGTTCTAAGATTTCCTCCCACACTTTGGCAGATGGTTCAGCTTCAGAGTCTACTAGCATGGACTGTTGCTTTAATGGGTAGCTTTTGTGTTTCAGACACCACCTTACACAGTTTTGAGTCGGGGCTACCAGTGTGAAAGAGCTTGAAGCAAGGTAGGCAAATGCTGTGCCCAGATCATTTATTAGCACTTGGCCCCAGCAAGGCCTGATGCTCTCCTTGGGAAGGGTGCCCAGCTTGTCTGGGGTGGGTGTTTTAGGGTCTCGTGCTTCTGTCCTGTGTGCTGTGGTCAGGCTACTCAGGGGAGTGCGGCAGGCACCTGCTGCTATTCAGTACTTTATAGTTTTCATAGCCTTTCATCGGGGTCGCATTGGTCATCCCAACAACCTTCCGAGACAGGGATTCCTTCGCCGCTGAAGACCAGAGGATGGAGGCCTGTGCTGTGTGTCATGAGTGTCAGAGCTGGCCCTGGGCCTTGCTTTCCTGGACTGGCCACTGCCTTATTCTGCAGAAAGTTTTTCTTGACATCTCCCCACCTCGCTGTGCCCAGAGGAGCAAACTGATGAATGTGTTCAGCATGTACCACCTTTCTTGTGGGAAGGAGCATGGGTTCCAGGTCCCTGCCTGCTTCCAGACCCTCTGTGGAAGCTGCCGCTGGCACTCAGCTTCCTTTTCCGGGGTATGAGCAACTGTGTCTCCAAGCAGAATGCCTTTGTCCACGGGGTGGGGAGGAGCTGGAAGACTGCAGGCCTCCAGGTTCTTTCTCTCAGGTTTCTGTTCCCTTTGGCGTCCACAGGACATCAGGAGCCAGGTGGCTGGCTGACCTGTCCCCCTCCTCCTCTGTGTCTTCCCCAGGCTGTGCAGTTTCCCCGCTCACAGGGATTTGCCGTTGGCACCTGTTCGGCCCTGTCTCAGCATGTGGGAGAGAGTGGTCTGTAGGTTGGTGTTGGTTTCCTGCTCAGAGGATGCTTCCTCAGTAGGCCCGGCTGAGGCCCAGGGAACCTGGAGTTACTCACTTAAAGGTAGCAAAAACCTAGAAAGTTAATCTCTTTCAGGCTTGTTTGTTCAGTGGTTTTTTGAAAAGATCAACAAAATTGATAGACTGCTAGCAAGGCTAATAAAGAAGAAAAGAGAGAAGAATCAAATAGACGCAGTAAAAAATGACAAAGGGGATATCACCACCGATCCCACAGAAATACAAACTACCATCAGAGAGTACTATAAACACCTCTACGCAAATAAACTAGAAAATCTAGAAGAAATGGATAAATTCCTCGACACATACTTCATTTCTTAGTTGTTCAGCTCAGTCCGCCTGAGGTCTTGGTAACAATAGTTGCGATATCTTTGTAACAGTTCTCTATCTCCTTTTACTACTCTCTGCCTCTGGATACCCCTCTTCACTTCACCCCTTCCTACAAGGAAGGAGTCAGGTCTGACAGTGTTGCAGGATGCAGTGCTGGGCTAACGGAAGGTCCAGAGAGGCTCTTAGCACGGAGCTGGAGCTGCCTGCTCCTCCCTCGCAGGACGCTGCCTGGGTTCCGTTCCTGTCCTTCCCTGCCTGGGGAACTAGCAGCCTTTGTGAGTCTCCTTGACAACAGGATGGATAAGTTAAAAATAACCTTGTGCCGGGCTTTCTGTGTGTGAGTGCCCTCTCCCCTGCTGCTCTGGAGCGCAGTCCCTGCAGCTTCTAGAGGCTCCTGAATGCATCTGTGGGAGCCTCAGTGGGGTCCAGGTGCTAGCATTTTGAAGCCCCGAGGTTTTAGAGGTCAAAGCCAGGTGATCAGGCAGCATCATTACCTTGTAACTCGCAATGATTACCGTAATATTACTGGCAACTGGTGGTTGCCGATGGTGTGTGGGTGTCAATGTTGAAATAAAGATTGGACAGCTGTTGTGAATGCTTTGTCTTCATTTAGTCTCCCTGGAGAGGGACGACTCTGGAGACCTTACTGTGTTTCAGAAACTCTGGAGTGGTGTACTGGGACACAGCCCTGGGTGAGAGTTTGGTTATGTCGCTTCAAGGAATCCCCATGGGAAGGAGGGTCCTTACCTTATATAAGGTGAAGACGCCAAAGTACAGAGGCACTTGGGTGACTTATCCAGAGCCACCTGTCTCGACTGTGGCAGAGTAGGGAGCAGTCTGTGTCTTCAGAAGCTGTGGCTCTCTCCCTTGGATCCTAATGATGAGGCCGTCTTTATTGGGCCTTTACCAAAGCCAGCTGTCTCTTTTTTATCAGCAGTCTGCACTAGGCGAGGCCCTCTGTGTTGCTAATCTGTTTTGTTTTTCTGTTTTGCTCATCTGCACTAGTTAAGGCCCTCTGTCTTGTCACAGTTGTAAATTAATTTAGAAAGAGCTGTCTCCCTGAGGGCAGGGGCTGGGTTTTTCTTTACACACCTGGACCTAATTCTTCTCTTCTTCCATCCATTAGTAAGTGTTTTGCTGTGTGCCGTGCATGGGGATAATGAGAACAAGAAGTTATGTTCTTGTCTTTAAGGAGTTTGTCGTCAGCCAAGGAGACATTTACAAAAGTCCCCGTTGTGGTCAGCGCTGAGAGGGAGAAGGTTCTAGTGTTAAGAGAGCAAATCACTGGGGTGTCTAACCTCGCCTGAGGTGAAGGTGGGGGTTAGAGCAGTCTGAGAGAACATATTAGTAACACAAAGTACTCAAATCTGGAGCACATAAACCACTACAAATCAATAAAAAAAGGAAGGCAGAAAACTCCGTAGAAAAACTAGCCAGTGATTTGACAGACACTTGACAGAAGATACCAAGTGGCCAGTGAACATGTGAGACAGTCACAATTCCGTGTATTCATCAGTCATCAGGGAAGTCAGAGGACCTGGGTTAATATGAGACATTGGGCCACGCATTGAACTTCCCAGATCCCGTTTCTTATTTGTAAATGGGGCTTCTCCTGTCCCTTCCCTTCCTCCCAGTACTGCTCTGAAGCTTGCATGGGAAAGGCTCTTCAGACCTTGCAGGGCTATACAGATACTAAGTAGTGTTGTTACTCTAAGTGATTTACTTTCTCCTCCACCTCTTCTCATAGCAACTATTCTGAATTCCCCTATGAAAGAAAATACTTGAGTGGTAGGATGGTTCCTAGGATTCAGAATAGCCTGTCCCTTGATACTTTGGGTAAAGAGCTTGCTGCTGGCATGGCTCTGGTTCCCTCACCCAGGCTGGGAGCAGGGTGACTTCCTGTGGGTCTTTTGTCACCCAGGGCCTGGTGGCAGGGAAAGGACTGAGGTGCACCAGTCCTGGCTCGAGCGTTGTCTGGAGTAGGCTGTCTGGTTCGTTGTCCACACTGACTGTGATTGACCTCCTCACAGAGTGCTCTAGTGAAGTCCGGAAATAACACTCTGGACTTGGGACATGTTGACATTAACAGGTCTACAGGGGCAACAGCCTCACCACCTGGCTTCCCCTGAGAGAGCCTGGTCAGTGCCATTGGCTGCCCTAGCAGGCTCAGGGATAACCTCCTGTTAAAACCGGTCCCAGCCTCCCTTTTGCATTCTTTGGATACAAAGGAGCCATGTTCTCTCTCTTTTGGATCTGCCCTCTGCGGTTAAGCAGATGGTACGCGGTGCAGATGCACACCTCTCTTCCAGCAGAGTGTGGCTGGCCACCTTGGCACATGTCACAACAGTGTCAGGATTGCTGCTAGTCCTGTCAGTCCCATCACCTGACTGTGCCAGGTTCTTAGGCCCTGTTTGGAGTCTTTCCCCACAGATCTCTCATGACAGGCATAGACTTCTCAATGGTCTACTCGGCACTTTTGACCTTTTTCTCTTCTGTATTTCTGCCACTTAGGAGTCAGAGTCAGAAGCAAAGGTAGATGGAGAGACTGCATCGGACAGTGAGAGCCGGGCAGAATCCGCACCCCTGCCAGTCTCTGCAGATGATACCCCGGAGGTCCTCAATAGGGCCCTTTCCAACTTGTCTTCAAGGTAACCTGGCTTAATGATGCAGGTGCTTGTTGGGGGCTTTGCACCATGTCCAAGTGCCCTGGAAGAGCCTGCAGAGAGCCCGTGGTCTTGCAGAGCAGGCCCGCTGTCTTGCCTCAGCCTCCCATGCCACTGCTCCAGGCTCCATTGAGTGTAATCTAGTGCTTAGCAGTGGCAGTGAGCACAGTGACCAGGAGGGGAGGGCAACCAAGGCTGGAAGGATCTGGCCCCGGAAGGGTGCTTCAGACTGGACTAGGAAGTGCAGTTCAAAGAGGAAGAGGGGACAGGAGGGATGGAGGTGGGTGAGGTCAGCTGACACTGCACAGCACAGGAAACCAGCCTTGGGTTTGCGATTAATGGGCAGGCTGCTTTTCACTGAGGAGTCCACGTTTCCAGTTCAGAGTTTAGTTTCTCTCACATCCTTTGTGAACAGTTCCTTAAATTCTCCAGGAAGAACTGGGAAACATCTTAACCTAGGTGAATCTAGTGTTAAAACTTTTGGCCCTTGAGAACCTGGTTCTTTTAACACAGCTATGTGAGTAGATCAAAAACACATTATAAGACCCCAAAGCATTATCTCAGTGTTCCTATGTGTGCCTCCAACTGTCCCCTTGGGAGTCTGAATTGTGCAGTGGTTAAGGGCGTGGACTTTGCAGCCAGACCCTTGGATTCAGATCCCAGCTTTACTGTTTGCCAGCTGTTTGACCTGTGCCTCCATTTCCTCATCTGTAAAAGCGAAGTGTGTTGAGGATTGAAGGAGTTAATATATGTAAAGTCCTCATAAAATTACCTTACTCAGGCCGGGTATGGTGGCTCACGCCTGTAATTCCAGCACTTTGGGAGGCCGAGGCGGGTGGATCAGGAGGTCAGGAGATCGAGACCATGGTGAAACCCCGTCTCTACTAAAAATACAAAAAAATTAGCTGGGTGTGGTGGCAGGCGCCTGTAGTCCCAGCTACTCGGGAGGCTGAGGCAAGAGAATGGCATGAACCTGGGCGGAGCTTGCAGTGAGCTGAGATTGTGCCACTGCACTCCAACCTGGGCTACAGAGGAAACTCTGTCTCAAAAAAAAAAAAAAAATTATGCATATTTATGGTAGCTGTTATTATCATTGCATAATGTTACTATTATTCCCATAATTATTCAGGGCAGTGCAGTGTAGGATCCTGCTGCTGGAAAAAAATATTTTTTTCTTCAGATAGTCAGCTGTAGAAACCATCCAAGTGGATACAGAAGCAGAGGGCACTACATTTCCCTTGGTTTTTTTGTTTGTTTGTGTTTTGCCTGATACCTTCTTTAAGATATAAGCTAGGTTTATTTTTTGCCAAGTTTGGTTGTGACTTAGGCATTGGTACTAGTGGTCCTGCTCCTGCCAGCATGTGGCTGGTGCCTCCGTCACGGTGAATCTGGAAAGGACTGAGCTCAGGGCCCTCATCTCAGGAAGATCCATATCCCTTGAGTTTGTGCATTGGTTTTTTTCTGGGCTCCTAACTGGTGTTTTCTCCTTCCCCTGCTCTCTGACCTAGATGGAAGAACTGGTGGGTGAGAGGCATCCTGACTTTGGCCATGATTGCATTTTTCTTCATCATCATTTACCTGGGACCAATGGTTTTGATGATAATCGTAAGTGCCATTTCACACTATTTTAGTTTTCCCTTCAGTTTTTGCTGCAGGCCCGGTTGTCTTAAGTGCGAGGTGTTGGGTTGGTTGTGGGAATTGACGGGGGTCCAGGCTTCTCAGAAAACCTCTGCCATAGAACATCTGTGACTTCCCACTTCTCAGTAGCCACCTGGAGGGTCATTGGTGTAGGCTGGTTGTTTATGGTTGAAGATGTCTCAGTGTCTTTTCTTTTAAAAAACTGACTTTATTGCCTGTGATCCCAGCACTTTGTGAGGCTGAGGTGGGCGGATCACGAGGTCAGGAGTTTGAGACCAGCCTGACCAACATGGTGAAACCCTGTCTCTACTAAAAATACAAAAATTAGCCACGCGTGGTGGCACGCGCCTGTAATCCCAGCTACTCAGGGGGCTGAGGCAGGAGAATCCCTTGAACCTGGGAGGCAGAGGTTGCAGTGAGCCGAGATCATGCCACTGCACTCCAGCCTGGGTGACAGAGTGAGACTCCATCTCAAAACAAACAAACAAACAAACAAAACTGACTTTATTATTCCAACTCTGTAAACTTTTACCCTGGGCATGTCTCTATATGACTCCTGGTTTCGTTTCCTGTTTTCCTGGGGCCTCCCTTCTGGGCTTAGAGCTTTTGTTAAGGAAATCCCAGTCCACAGAGCTGCTCTGTCTGTCTTCCCACTGTCCTGGACAGGGTCAGGTGACCATCAGCTGCATGTGAGCAAAGCATTTGACTTTGAATACTTGAGACTTTTCAAGTATTCAGAGTCAAAAGGAGAATGGATTGGTTGAATCCTGGGAGGTTCTAGAATAAAAAGTTAAAAAGGAGGTTTTAGAATAAAGTTAATTGAGGGTCAGGCATGGCGGCTCACGCCTATAATCCCAGCACTTTGAGAGGCCAAGGCGGGAGGATCACTTGAGCCCAGGAGTTCGAGACCAGCCTGGGAAAGAAGGTGAAACCTCGTCTCTACTTAAAAAAAAAATCCTTTTGGCTGGGTGCGGTGGCTCACGCCTGTAATCCTAGCACTTTTGGAGGCTGAGGCAGGTGGATTGCTTGAGCCCAGGAGTTCAAGACCAGCCTGGGCAACACGGTGAAACCCTGTCTTAAAAAAAAAAAAGTTAATTGAAACATCAGGGTGTGTATTTTATTGTGAGTGGAAAATTGGATCTACTCCCTGTGACATAGAGGGCTGCATTGCTCTGTGGGATGGTATGAGAGAGGAAGAAGGAGGGAAGCAGAACCACTGGAGGCCCGATATTTTTCTTAAGTATAATGGGTTTTCTGGAAGGCTCATGACCTGTTGGTTTCCATTTCCAAAAATCATAAGAATTGGGGTGTCAGTGAATGTTTTGTGTCCCGCAGGTGATGTGCGTTCAGATTAAGTGTTTCCATGAGATAATCACTATTGGCTACAACGTCTACCACTCATATGATCTGCCCTGGTTCAGGACGCTCAGCTGGTAAGCTCTCCGGCCCCACAGAGGCTTTTAGAATTTGGATGATGTGCTTTGTGGCAGGTACTTACAGTGACGGTGGGTATTTCTATCACTTGCTATAGAGATAAATGCTGGAGAGGCAGTTATCATGTTAGGTCATACAAAGTTTCATGAAGAAAATGGTATTTGAGCAATAAGTGAAGAAATGGGTAAGAGAATGTTAGGAGAATGTTAAGAGAAAGTTAAGAGAAAAAGGCAGGAGAAAAGAGGTGATTGCCACAGACTCGCACAGTGCCTTTGAGACCTGAGTATTTCATAGGCCAGACTGTGTGGTTGGCCTTGCAGGAGTCTTATAGTTACTTGAAGTCTGGAATCTTCCTGAGAAGAAACCAGATGGGCTGCATTCTGTGACTGTGTTTGCCTCGCTATTTGGATTCCTTAAACTCTGCATGATGATCCCGTTTTTCTAGATCAGTATATTTTTCATGCCGTCATATCTCAGCATCCCACTAGAGTTGTCTGGAAGTTGTTAGGTTCTGCTGCCGGCTTTGCTTGTTATCCTTGGAACTTGGTTTCCTTATCTCTAAGACAGATGGTTGAGACTTACTGGTTTCCAGACTGTGGTGTTTGAGCCCTACTTCATCAGAGGTGTTTTGAGTGCCAGAGTGGGCAGGAGTGAGGCTGAATGCATGGGATCTGGGCTCCGCTGGGAAAGTTGGCTTTCTCCGTTTCCTGGGAAAGGATTCAGCTTTCTTAAAGCAAAAAGAAAAACCTGTAACACATGTCTGAGACCCCTTTCTGATCTGAAACTCTGCTTTATTGGCCGTAGTATTCTCAGGTGGTGACTTTTGAGCAGAGCACTGCACCATGCTGAGAGGACCTGGGGCAAATGTGGACCTTCTCACCCCACTGTGCAGGGATACAGGGGTTGAAGCCATGACTTAGCCGGCTGGAGAGCAGTGGTTTTTGCCCCAGCAACCTGGTCACTGTCAAGGAAGCCGATGTGCTCAGATGTAGGCTGGGCACCCCCTTCCTGAGGTGTTTCCTGTCACCCAACAGACAGGCTGCCTCCCAGCCTCCAGATGGAATTGGGATTGCCACCTGGCTTAAGATGCAGGTCCCTTTTGTGGCTGTTCTTTAGCTGGAAAGCAGTGTTTTGCATTTTGTTAACATACTCAGGAGGCCTGACTCCTGGCTGTGGTCACTTTACAAAGAAAGTTTTTTCCATGTAACAGAAAAGAAACCCAATATGGGAGTTTTTGTACTTCATAATTTAAAAAAAAGAATGGGAAAGAAAAGCTCTCCACTTTCTTCTCTATCTCAGGATCCTTGCTGGGGGTTTGCAGTGATGGCTGCATGGTGCCATACTCAGCAGTACTGTGGAGGCTGCAAGGGATGGCTTCTCTTCTCATGAACGCCAGTTGAGGAGAGAGAATACACAAGTGAAGAGTTAACGCTAATGGAAGGTCTGTTTGTCAGAGCCAGGCTTCAGAGAGGCAGATGCATCATTAATTGCTTAGTCAGATAATCACATATTACTTGCTATAGAAATAAATGCAGGGGAGGCAGATGTCATGTTAGGTCATGCAAAGTTTTATGAATAAAATGGCATTTGAGCAAGGAGTGAAGAAATGGAGAAGCAAAGAGAATGTCAGGAGCAGGAAAAAGGCAGGAGAACAGCAGACAGGTGTGGCAAAGCCGGAAGAAACCATTTTGATAGGAGTGAAGGAGTTCCTGTTGGGAAGAGTGGAAACGAGACTGGGGAAGCAGGATGAGGCGTGTTTTTGAAGGTCATATGGTTCAAGGATCCCTCAGTTAGGTATGGGAATGCTACAAAAGGGGCAAAAACGGAGTCTCAAGTTTGGGAGAAATGGAGAGTGAATGAAAGCTGCTGTCTGTTTCTAGATAAATTTCTCACCTACGGTGTCACCAGAGAGCAGGAAACCATGGTCTGCCTGTTGCTCTGTGAGCTGTCCCGGGGGACTCAAGGGTGGGGGGTATTCTGCTGCCCTCTGTCCCTTCCTCTGGGATGTCTGACTGCCTTGCTGTGAAGGCAAGGGTGCTCCCCACGGCAATGACCTGTCTTCATTTACAGGTACTTTCTCCTGTGTGTAAACTATTTCTTCTATGGTGAGACAGTGACGGATTACTTCTTCACCCTGGTCCAGAGAGAAGAGCCTTTGCGGATTCTCAGTAAATACCACCGGTTCATTTCCTTTACTCTCTATCTAATAGGTATGCATTAAGCAGTTCACCATTTCTTGTGTCTGTATTGTTTTTGTATGTCTGTCAGGTAGGAATTGGGGAATTTCTTGGTTAGTATACAGTTTTGTGACATTAACTGTGACCATGCAGGGGAGCAGAGCTGATGCTCTATGTTAAGCTGTAGCAGCTGTTACCTTTTTTTTTTTTTTTTTTGAGCCAGGGTCTCACTCTGTCACCCAGGCCAGAGTGCAGTGGCACCATCTCGGCTGACTGCAACCTCCACCTCCCAAGTTGAAGCGATCCTCCCACCTCAGGTCCCGAAGTAGCTGGGACTACAGGTGCCTGCTACCATGCCCAGCTAATTTTTGTATTTTTAGTAGAGACCGAGTTTCGCCATGTTGGCCAGGCTGGTTCCGAACTCCCGAGTTTAACTTATCCGCCTGCCTTGGCCTCCCAAAGTGCTGGGATTACAGGTGTGAGCCACCACGCCCGGCCTTGTAGGAGCTCTTTTAAGAGAAGCAGAGTGTAGGGGCAGGACTGTGGCCTGTGCCACCTGCCCCTGTGTTTCAGCCACCATTGAGGAACAGCACAGCATGGTCCTGTCCTGACTCTCCTGTTGGCAAAGATTCTGCAGTGGGACCGAAACAAAAATCATCTAGGAACTTACCATCTTTAGGGGAGTCATTTTAGGAGACCGCCTTGGGTGACATTGTAGCATGGTGGAAATTTTACTGGATTTGGGCGTAGACTCTGCAACCTCAGGGGGAGCTAGGAACATAATATTTCTGAGTCTCAGCTCTTTTGTAATCTAGAGCTAAAACTGCAGGGTTACTGTGAGGATTAAATCAAATACATTAAAACTTCACAAACATTAAAGCGTTATATTAGTATACATTCAGGTAAGGCCACGTACTAATTCTAATAATGCTGATGGTTTTTCATAGCTACCTTCAAAGCTAGTTTGAGGTGCACGAAAAATTTGTTCTGACCTCAATGTCAATCTGACCTATTTTTGATCAGCTTGATAGCAATACTTCTGTGAATGACACCTGACTATTAAAATATAAAATCTGCAAAGGGGTCTGCTGCCATTGAGGATATTCAGAGAGTATGCTGCAGACCCCGAAAGCAGCCTTCCACAGTGGGAGGTAAGGGGTCTGGAAAAGCGACATGCTTATTTCTGGGCAGAACTGCTTTTGAGGATCTCCGCATGTTTATGGATAAAGGTTCCTTTCCTTCCTGGAGAAGGGGTCTGCGGACATGTTGTGCTACCATCTAGGTCACTGTGAGAGAGATAAAAAGGTGGTCTTGACCCTATACCATGTGGATCCCTCTTCTCCCAGCCCTATGAATACTAGGACAGGTATTGGCAAACTTTTTTTTTTTTTTTAAGGGGAAGCAAGTTTATTAAGAAAGTAAAGGAATAAAAGAATGGCCCTTAGAGCAGCCCCGAGGGCTGCTGGTTGCCCATTTTTATGGTTATTTCTTGATTATATGCTAAACAAAGGGTGGATTATTCATGTTTCCTTTTTTTAGATCATATAGGGTAATTTCCTGATGTTGCCATGGCATTTGTAAACTGCCATGTCACTGATTGGAGTGTAGCAATTAGGACAAGCAGAGGTCATTCTCATTGCTATCTTGATTTTGGAGGGGTTTGGCCAGCTTCTTTACTGCAGTTGTTTTCTCAGCAAGGTCTTTATGACCTGTATCTTGTGTGACCTCCTATCTCATCCTGTGACTTAGAATACCTAACCGTCTGGGAATGCAGACCCTGTAGATCTCAGCCTCATTTTACCCAGCTCCTATTCAGGATGGAGTTGCTCTAGCTCAAATGCCTCTGACATTTCCCCCATCACTTTTATAAGAGAACCCTTAATCCTAAGGGTTGCAGAGGGACGAAGATCCATCCTCTGTAACTTCTTCAGGCTGATTAGGGGCAATGATATTCCTGCCTACCTATCGAGGTCTCTTGTATTCAGGGTAGAGAGGAGCTCAGTCAGAAAGTGTCAGTATGGTTAGGGCTATTCACAGCTCGGACACAAAGTGATATCTGGAAGATTTTGTAAGTGTTTAAGAGAACATTGAGTAAGCTTATCCTGCATTCCTACACAAATAGTACAACTATTCCATATCAGTAAAGCAAAATAAGCAAAACTATCCCAAGTAAACTAAAGAAGGCTTTCCATGAACTGGGTAATTGTTGGAACCAAGCTGATACGGGGTCGGTAGCTGATTGCAATATGTTCCCAGAATTAGAATACTGATTCAGATTTTTACATCACCAATCCCTCTTGTTTCTTCTGAGCTGCAGCCAGAGATCACTGGTTGGTTCACAGGAACAAGCAGTCTAAATTGCAGAAAAAAACCAAAGTCAGCCAATCAGTGCTGCAGTCTATTTCCTTTGGGTTGGGGGTCTCCTCAGTATTGTCCCTTTGGGGTTCACCAGAAAGATGTTACCAGAAAGGGGTCCAGACCCGGACCCCAAGAGAGTGTTATTGGATCTCATACAAGAAGGAGTTTGGGGCGAGTCTGTGGAGGAAAGTGAAAGCAAGTCTATTAAGAAAGTAAAGGAATAAAAGAATTGCTACTCTGTAGGCACAACAGGCAGCAAACTTTTTATTAAAGTTCCAAACAGTAAATATTTTAGGCTTTGGGGACCATAGGGTCTCTTGCAGTTACAGTCATGCATCGTTTAACCATGGGCTATGTTCTCGGAAATGCATTGTTGTCATTTTGTCATTGTGCAAACATTGTAGAGTGTACTTATGCAGACCTAGATGGTATAGCCTCCTACACACCTAGGCTATAATGTGTAGTCTATTTCTCTTAGAGTACAAACCTGTACAGCATGTTACCTTACTAAATAAATACTGTAGGCAATTATAACACAATGGTAAGTATTTGTGTATCTAAACATAGAAAAGGTACTATATGGTAATTAGTAAATCTTATGGTATTATAATCTATGGGTATTATAACCTTAGGGAACTGTTGTTGTGTATGTGGTGTGTTGTTGACGAGAACCTCGTTGTTCAGAGCATGACTGTACTCAGTTCTGCTGAGTTGTAGCTTGAAAGCAGCCATAGACAATATGTAAACAAATGGACATAACTGTGTTTGAATAAAACTTTATTTATAAAAACAAGCAGCTGGCCTGACCACTGTTTGCTGGCCCATGTTCTAGGAATAAAACATTCCTATCTGATGAACCATGTTCTAAGTTTAGTGTGGTCTGCATGATTATAAAATATTGCCTTCCTTTTACTGTTTGGGAGGAGTTATTTTTTCCTTGTGACTGTTTATCTGGGTAATGTTTTTCTCCCCTGGGCTTTGACATTGTGCACTGGTTAGCTGCTGGGAATAAATTAGCCAAAGAACCACTTAACATAGCTAAAGGAGGGCAAAGATAAATGCAGAACATAATTCATTTTTCTTTTCTCCTCCCACCTCAAACTAGGATTCTGCATGTTTGTACTGAGTCTGGTCAAGAAGCATTATCGACTGCAGTTCTACATGGTAAAGGAAATGCATGCGTGTGTGTCAGAATTCTTGATTTAAATGAAGTTTTTCAGGAACTCAACAAGCCTTTCATGCTTTCTGTGACAAATCAAAACTCAGGAACATGGTCTGATATGTATGCATCTAGAGCATGAAGGAAGAATGCCCATTTAGGTTTAATGGCTCTACGTTGACTTAGACCCAGTCACTGTTACTTACACCTTAAGCAGCCTCTCCACTAGGACCCTGAGGTGGGCTCCAGAGAAGGCACAAGCTGAAGCTTCAGACACTGCCCACAGATGTCCTGTCTGGTACATCACTTGCTACCACTTATTCCCTGACTCACTAGAGAACAGCTCCTCTCTGAGTGCTCCAGGTGCTCAATAACTACTAAGAAAATGAAAAATACCCAGGCTTTCAGAGCATGGGAGAGCTCACTCACTAGTGGGCTGTGGGGGACAAAGTATTACTCTCAGAAGCCTGATCTTACCTGTTCACTTTCAATAAGTCAGATACAAAAGCAGATATTTTTCCTACCTGCTTCTCAGCAGTTTTCTATTTGGTATTGATTGTTCTTTGAAGTTACTTTCAAGGTAAACTGGTAAGTAGTGTTTATTTTTCTTTTTTTTGCAGTTTGGCTGGACCCATGTGACATTGCTGATTGTTGTAACACAGTCACATCTTGTTATCCACAACCTATTTGAAGGAATGATCTGGTGAGAATTGGGAGTTGGATTTTCCCTTTTATTTTGTGAGTGTTTCTCGTGTACAGATACCCCCCTCTAAGCCAGTGGCCCTCACCTTGAGCCACATCAGAATCCTCTGCAGGGTTCATTATAGCACAGATTGCTGGACCCCACCCCTGACTTTTTGATTCATTAGATCTGGGGTAGGCTTGAGAATTTGAATTTCTAGTACATTCCTGGGTGGTGCTTATATTGCTGGACAGGACCTATGCTCTGAGAACCACTGTTCTAGACTAATAGGTACAGGAATATTTAAAGACTCAAAGACAATGCAACATGTATGGCAACAGATTTGAAAACCTAGAGGAAATATTCATGATTTCCTGACAAAATATATACTAAAAGTCATGAAGAAGAAAACGTGAATAGATCAGTAACTGTAAATGAGCTTTGAAAATTATGTAAGATTCCATATCTGGAAAGAGAAACAGGACCAAATGGGTTAACAGCTGAGTTTTATCTAACCTTTATACCAAAGCCAATGAGGAGAGAGAAGCAGGAATGATAAACCCATTTCTGCTACGATTATAGATAAATCATTCTAAATAAAATACTAGCAAATAGAATCTGGCAGTGTGTCAAGGGAATAATATGCAAATACCGAGTGGATTTTATTCCAAAAATGCAGTGGTTTCATGTATCAGCATTGATAGAAATCACTGGCCAACTGAAGCAGCTAGGTGATCTTAGTGAAAAGGTTAAAGGGCGGGCGCGGTGGCTCACGCCTGTAACCCAACACTTTTGGAGGCCAAGGTAGGCGGATCACGAGGTCAGGAGTTGAAGACCGGCCTGGGCAACATAGTGAAATCCCCGTCTCTACTAAAAATACAAAAAAATAGCTGGTGTGGTGGCGTGGCAGGTGCCTGTAATCCTAGCTATTCCGGAGGCTGAGGCAGGAGAATCACTTAACCTGGGGGTGGAGGTTGCAGTGAGCCGAGATTGTGTCACTGCACTCCAGCCTGGGCAACAGAGACTCTGTCTCAAAAACAAAAACAGAAACAAACAAACAAACCTGTAATCAAAGAACTTTTTAAAAAGTGTCAGTGTCAGGGAGTGGAGGGTGAGGAGAGAGAGAACAAGTGTGGAAACCACCTCTTTCATAGTGAGGATGACTGGATCAGCAGGGGAGTGGGCAGAGGGGAAATCTAGCTGTGCGTGTTGGGGTTTCACACTCAAATACAGTCCTGGGGAAAGATAGGGCCAACTAGAGCTAGTAATAAACAGCAAGAAAAGTCAGTAAATAATGAAAGAGTCATTAAAGCATACTATTTAGAATTGGGGAGGTAACCACTAGAAAAATAAAAATTAGAAACGATTAGAAGTGGTTATTTTTGGGAATGGAGATAGGGATGGGAGAAAGAAGGAAAACTTTTTGTTCCTTTTACAATTAAATTTCTCTCATTGTTTACGTATATTTCTTTATCATGAAAAAAGGACAGATGACCTTTTAGTTTGCAACCTCCACTTATTCAGTAGTCATTCAGTAAACACTTGAATATGTACTCTGTGCTAGGTACTAGGTATGACTTTTTTGGTATTTTTTATGTTTTTAACTTACTCCTTAATGGGTTACCAGAATTTTATGGGTGATTTTGGTGCTGGAATTTAAGAATGGCACTATTTTGTGTACTTTTGAGGTACTGTCACCTTGCTTGAGTTGATCCTTACTTTGGTTCATTTCTAGGTTCATTGTCCCCATATCTTGTGTGATCTGTAATGACATCATGGCCTATATGTTTGGCTTTTTCTTTGGTCGGACCCCACTCATCAAGGTAAATGGATTACCCTAATGTGAAATACCACTGTGAGGGGAGGGTGGTGCTCTCAATGTGAGTAGATCAGCCTGGCAGACAGAAGAAATCTAGCTGTGTTGTATTGTGGCCATGTCTTCATGTCTTCCTGGAGAAAGGCCAAAGGAAAACACTGACAACTGATTAAAAAAAAAAAAAGATAATAAAGAAAATAGGCTGGGCGTGGTGGGTCATGCCTGTAATCCTAGCACTATGGGATGCTGAGGCAGGAGGATTGCTTGAGGCCAGGTGTTCAAAAGCAGCCTGGGGAACTTAGTGAGGCCTTGCCTTTACTAAAACATTTAAAAATTAGCCAGGCATGGTGGTAGCATGCACCTGTAGTCCCAGCTCCTTGGGAGGCTGAGATGGGAGGATCTCTTGAGCCCAGGAGGTTGAGGCTTCAAGGAGCTGTGATAGTGCCACTATACTCCAGCCTGGGTGATGGGGCAAGATCGTGTCTTGAAAAAAGAAAGGAAAATATTTTTACAGATTTATATAATCTTTTTTGGGGACACATTTTTTGGGACTTTGATCTGGATTTGAGTGTAGTCACTTAATTAGTATATCGTTTTCTAATATAAAACTATTCGAATGACTGATTGAAACAGAAAGGGAACCAAAGGGAGGAGGATATAAGATAGGGAACAAGGAAACCATATTTGGGGGAGCTTTAAAAGGTGACATGGTTAAGAGAATGGGGTTTTATGAAAGAAAGGTTCTTAACAAGTAATCATTGTTCGCAAAGCTATAGTTATCAAAACACCCTTTGCTGAGAACTTGCTCTCTGTCCACAGCTGTCCCCGAAGAAGACCTGGGAAGGCTTCATTGGGGGCTTCTTTGCTACTGTGGTGTTTGGCCTTCTGGTAGGTGGTGGCTTTCAGCTGTGTAAGGGATTGGGTGGACAGAGGCCTCATACCACCTTCCAAGGCCTGTCCAGAGCTGGAGAGTGTCTTTGGAGGCCAGGACTGTCCTGCTGAATGGCAACCTTGCCCTGAAGAGGGCCACTGGCCATGCCAGCCATCCACCAGCTTTCAGGCAGGGTGCTAGCAGTTGGAGAGCACCTTCTATGCCCTCTCGCGCCCAGGCATGGTGACATCAGCAGGTAGCCTTCTTGTCAGGCATTTGATGTTCCAAGGTCAGGGTGAGTGCACCCAAGGGAAGATGAGATACACAGCTTTTCTCCTATGTGTGCCTTGCCCAGAGGTGGGTGATTTTCCTGCCCTTTCCAGAGCACCATTCTCTGCTTCTGACCCTTGGGCCAGTCCTCCTTCTTCAGCACTGTCTGGCTGCCCTTCAGTGCTCACCGCCCAGCTTTGTTGCTTTCCAGCCTTGTTCCTCCTGAGATCTGCCTCTCACTGTGCCCCTTCCCCATGGCCTCTCTCCAGTTATCACTGACTTCAGAGATCTTGAGGAAAGTGGTCCTAGCTCCCCAAATGGGGAGAGTCTTCTTGTAGTTCTTTGCCCCAGTCCCTTCAGGTTTTCCCGGATTCTTTCGGGGCCTGGGTGTTTGGGTTCCTGTATGTAACCTTGGTGGGTCATGAGCCTCTTTTTTTTTTTTTAATTGAGGTAAAATATGTATGGTAAAACATGAACCTCTGAGCACATAGCTCGCAGTTAGCAGGGTACTAGGCACCCTCAGGAACATGGCCAAACCAGGTGCCTGTGTCTGGGCTGGATGGTTGGAACTTACTTCCTTGCCGGTCTCTCTGTTATTCCTCCTCAGCTGTCCTATGTGATGTCCGGGTACAGATGCTTTGTCTGCCCTGTGGAGTACAACAATGACACCAACAGCTTCACTGTGGACTGTGAGCCCTCGGACCTGTTTCGCCTGCAGGAGTACAACATTCCTGGGGTGATCCAGTCAGTCATTGGCTGGGTATGTGCCACTCACAGGGGGTGAGCGGCCTCCATGGACAGTGGCTACAAAGAGAGATCCCCCTCCATCACCTGCCCTCTGAAAAAAGCTAGCTTCCTCCTTCCCAAAGCTGTAAGCCCCAGGATGAAGGAGAATTGCTCACGCCAGGTCAGGGTATGGGCAGGACAGCTTTCCCCCAACATCAGATTGTTTAGACCAGTGGTTTTCAAAGTGTGTTCTGTGGATCCCTGGAGGGCCCTGGGATCCTTTTAGTTGCGGGGGTAGGGTGGGGGGGTCTGTGAGGTCACAACTGTTTCATAATTAGACTATGACATTATTTTCCTTTTTCAATGTGTTGACATTTGCTGTGATACGGCGCAAAAGCAGCAGTGGTTAAAACTGCGTTAAGGCAGTGGGTTCCTCATGCCACACACTCACAGTACAAACAGGCCAGTTCTAATGAATGTCTATGAAATAGTAAAGTTACTAATTTTGTTAAATCTTGACCTTTGTACACACACCTTTTTAACACTCTCTACTGAAATGGAAAGTATGTGTAAAACATTTCTGCTAAGTACTGTAGTACAGTGCTTGCCTAAAGGGAAAGCATGTGTGCAGTTGTTTGAGTTGTGAGCTAAATTAGCTGCTTTTTTTTTAGAAAAGAAAGTAAATTTTACTTGGAAAGAACCAACAAATTATAATTTTTCAGACTTGGGTATTTGGCAGACATTTTTCTTGAAAAGGATGAAGTGAGCCTATCACTTTAAAGAAAACAACTGAGGCTAGGCACAGTGGCTCACACCTGAAATCCCAGCACTTTGGAAGGCCGAGGCAGGCAGATCTCTTGAGGTCAGGAGTTCCAGACCAGCCTGGGTAACATGGCGAAACCCCGTCTTTACTAAAAATACAAAAAAATATAGCTGGGGATGGTGGCGTGTGCCTGTAATCCCAGCTACCAGCTACTCAGGAGGTTGAGTTGCTTGAACCCAGGAGGCGGAGGATGCAGTGAGCCAAGATCGCACCACTGCACTCCAGCCTGGGTGACAGAGTGAGACTGTCTCAAAAAAAAAAAAAAAAAGAAAAGAAAAATGACTGACAGTAATTGTTACCAAGGATAAAATTTGGCTTTCAAATGAAAATTAGAATTTTGGAAAGCTTAACCTGCCACTGTGAACTTGACAGCTTCCTAATACTTAAAAGCCTTTTCTGATGAGGTCTGTGATGATTCTTAACGTACGTGTGTGTGTGTGTGTGTGTGTGTGTTGATCACATGAGAAAAAACACAAACATATTTGACACGGTATAATGAAATGTGTCTACATTTGGAAGATTTACATAACTCAGTGAACCATTATTTTCTAAATGGCTGATGCATGGTGTTATATAGTCATGCATGGGTAAAAGATCCGTTCAAGTATAAGATAGACCAATGGATTTTAATGTAAGAGAGAACAAAGTCCATTGATAGAATTCTAGATTCCATATCACACCTAATATTCAAGAAATGACTACTTGTCAAGCTCTGGTGTAGTGTCAGAGAATACCCAAAACCATCTGAGGCTACGACTAAAATACTCTTTTCAACTATGTATCTGCGTACGGCTGGATTTTCTTTATATACTTCCACCAAAACAGCATGTTGCAACAGATTGAATGCAGAATATTTTAATGTTTTCCATTAACTTAGATATTAGAAATTTACAAAATGGGAAAAATTCACTCCTCTTATTGATTTAAAACCTACATGTATATAATTAGTTTCATAAAGAGTTACGAGGTTGGATGTCTTGGTCTGTCTAGTGTTGATAGAACACTTGGGGCTGGGTAATTTACAAAGAAAAGAGGTTTACTTAGCTTCTTTCTGCAGGCTGAGAAGTGTGAGAAGTGTGGCATTGGCTGCTGCCTGGCTTCTGGTGAGGGCTTTTTATGCTGCATTGTAACATGGCGGAGAAGGTCAAAGGTGGAAGCAGACACATGCAAAGAGGCAAAACCAGGGGCTTCATCACTTCATAACAACCCATTCCCTCGGGATGCCAGTGCTAATCTAGTCTCTTGACAGAACTCACTACTAGGAGAAAGGCACCAAGCCATTCATGAGGGATTTGCCCCTGTGACCCAAACACCTCCCACTAGGCATCACCTCCCAGTGAGGCCACAATGAGGATCAAATTTCAACATGAGTTGACAACTCAAACCGTAACACTGGGCATGTATGCACCTAAACTTTTACTTCATTTACTCTTCTCAGAAAACGGTCCGGATGTACCCCTTCCAGATTCACAGCATCGCTCTCTCCACCTTTGCCTCGCTCATTGGCCCCTTTGGAGGATTCTTCGCAAGTGGATTCAAACGAGCCTTTAAAATCAAAGTAGGAAAACCGTCTTACGTTCCTCTCATCTCACTCCCTCACCCATCTTCTGCCTTTCTCCCCCTTCCCTGCCCCCTCCAAAATACTAGGCTGTACACCCTGGCATTTAATGTGTGATCTTGACCCATGCACTGAATTTAGGTGAGTTAATTAATAACAATATTTTCAGGAAAATGCAATCGTTGTTTTTCAGTTTATTTGTTAATATATCTTTCTTCAAAAGAACATTTTGGGCCAGGCAGTGGCTCATGTCTGTAACCCCAGCACTTTAAGAGGCCAAGGCGGGAGGATCACTTGAGGCTAGGAGTTAGAAAGTAGCCTGAGCAACATAGCAAGACTCCTGTCTTTATTAAGTAAATGAAATAAGAACATTTTGTAATGCAATAAAATTGTGTCCTAATATAGCCTCACCATTAGATTTCATACTTCTCACCTTCTATTGCCCTCAGCTACTCAGCACAGAAGCCTGACATTGGGGTGGGACCATTAGGCTGGGATTGGTTAGTGGCTGAGCCCAAGTTCACCCATCCTTCCCCTGCCTCTAACAGGACTTTGCCAATACCATTCCTGGCCATGGAGGCATCATGGATCGCTTTGACTGCCAGTATCTGATGGCCACCTTTGTCAATGTATACATCGCCAGTTTTATCAGGTATAGTACCTTTCCATCTGAACCAAGTTGGTGGATTTTTAAGTACGGTGCAATTCTAGAATTTTAGCGGCATCTAAGTTCCAGTGAAAAGCATCCCAAATAATGCAGTTTTCAGTTGTTTCTGCTTACAGATTTTCTGAGGCCTCCTGTCATCTGTTAATAGATAACTCTCTGATCCAGAGATCAGAGCAGCCACTCAGATAATCAGGCCCTGGAAGCTTCCGGGCCCTAGCTCAGTGCTGTTTCTTCACATTCTGTTCCAGAGGCCCTAACCCAAGCAAACTGATTCAGCAGTTCCTGACTTTACGGCCAGATCAGCAGCTCCACATCTTCAACACGCTGCGGTCTCATCTGATCGACAAAGGGATGCTGACATCCACCACAGAGGACGAGTAGGGGCCACCCAGGGCCAGGAGAACAGGAACAGAACTGAGCAGGGGCAGGTCTCCAAGGCAAGCCCAGCTGGTGTGACTTAGACAATGACGAGGCTTCAACTCACTGTCTTTTTTTTTTTTTTTTGGAGGGTATTTTTTATTTGTGGGTTCAAAAAATCTGTATATACAGTCTATGTGTTTAGAATTTGTGTTGTAAGTAAACTACAGCTTTGAGTTGGAAAGAAGTCACGGGTTGTAAAACCATTTGGATTTTTTTAAAACAAAAGTATTAATAATCTGGAAGACAGTGTTGCCCAGGTCAGGAGTGTTTTCTTGGTGGTTCCAGCCCCCATCAATTGAACTGTTTCTGGGCTCAGTCAGACACAGACATTCATCTGTGTCTGACCAAATCAGGGGACTTCCCCACCTGTGGTGGGAGGCACAGCTTAGATGTTTTGTACACCTGGTCTTTTCTAGAAATCCCTGCTTGGAGCTGCAGAAGGGTTGCCTTCTGTAGGTCGGAGGAATGGAGGCTTACTAACCAGGTAAGCCTTCTATGCATCCACACCAAAATCCTGCAGAATGTAAGTAAGCTCTGCTTTATAAGATGGGTTCACCTTCATCGCAGACTGAAAGTTTCAGTTTTTATTTTTTTCAGAAAGCACGAAAAATTATTTATAATAGTCTGGAGAAAAAACACACTGTAATATTTCAAGTGTATGCAGTAGAATGTACTGTAACTGAGCCCTTTCCCACATGTCTAGGCTCCAATGTCTCCTGTAGGTCCACCTAACTGTGTGTTTTCAGGGACAATGCCATCCATGTTTGTGCTGTAGACTTGCTGCTGCTGAATCCTTTCTGGGGACTTTCTCATCGGGCAGGGAGCAGAGGGCTTCTCGTTCATGCACCCTTTGCCTGAACACCCATGTAGCTGCTGTGTTGTGTATATATTACTCTTAAGAGGAGTGTGTGTGTCTGTGTTTGTTTTAAAAGTCACTTATTTCTTACAGTGATTTCAATTGCACCATGACTTCTTCACTAAAACCACAAAGTCCTGCTTAAAACTATGGAAAACCTAACCTGATTAGAGCCTTGACTATTTTGAAGATTAAATGCACACTTTTTATATAATGTGACCAGTTTAAATGTAGTTTGTATTGTACTGGGGGACCTTTCGTTGTTGTTGTTTGCTTAAACTGTGATTTTTTTTCCCCTCCCTAATTTCAGGGGTGAGATTGACTTTGGGAAGACAGATTAGTTCTTTGTCAGGCCAACAAGTGATGGAGTGCGGGAGAGAGAACTTGGCACCCAAATATATCAAACTATTCCGTGCCGTGGATGTTTTCATTGCCAACGAGGGTGTAATGATTTGCTTCTGCACCTTGGTCTAGTGCTGGTTTGTGGTGTTTTTGTTTGTAAATTAGCCTCACTGCCTCCCTGAAAGTGCACAGTCAGCCCAGGTCTCTAGAGTGTCCAGCAGAGGATGGAGCCCTCGGGATGTTTCAGCTCACACATCCTTGAGTGACTTCCCATATGTGTGTGGGGCTGAAGCGGCTTCTTTCCGCTGAACTTTTATTTCCATTTCAGCCTCGTGGCTTCTCTTATTCAGGTCCAAGGCCCCTTAAAAACAAAACATATTATCGCAAGGGCTTTCATTTCAGTATTGGCTGTGTCACTGGCAGGATGCATCACTCTCCAGGGCCTCTTTTTCGGAGCTACTCCCAATTCCACTCTTCTGTGATTCTGGCTGAGCAAGTTCATGCCGGTAGAGGCTCATTAAGTGAGGTCCTGGGCACCCCCCAAACAGGAAGTGTTTTCAGGCCCTTACATGCTTATCCTTAAGGTGAGTAGGTATCTCAGCAGCACACCCGAACAGTAAAGGTGATCAATAACGAAACTGTAGTTTTCAGATTGAAGAATGAACCTGGATCACCAAACTAGATACCGAAAGGGCTCCTCATTTGTCTCTTTTGTCCCATTGTGGGCATATGGTGGGCTCCTTGAGAGGAGGGAGTCTCAGCTGGGGCCTGGCTGCAGAGACCTGCTCTTGAATAGGGCTGCCTTTGGGATCAGGGAGCCGAGCATACTGGGCAAGGCTCATCATGTTCCTTTGTGGAAGTGGTTACTTGGTGGGGGTGGGGTGGGGAAGGGGGGTCTAGGAAGCCGAAGCTGAGTGCGCACTAGAGCTGCTAGCAGGCAGGCCAGAGGGTCAGCTTGTGTTTTATTTTCTGATTTCTCCTGCATGCTTTCTGGAGATGAGGATTTTTTGTCAGGTAGCTAGGAGAGCACTGCCACCTTGTGTCCATATAGCACAATGTTTCTCTTTCCTATTCACAGACAAGATTCAAGAAACCATTTTTACGTGTGTACATTCAAATCTTCATGAATGGCATCACTTGCTTTAGACCCATTTTTTTTTTATTGGTCAGAAATAAAATGTGACTGCAACTGTGTGCCCTCCCTTGTCGTGAATTCCCTGTTTATCACTTCCATGCATGGTTTTATGCTTCTCATTTGTTTATGTATTCATGAATACTGCATAGTCCTGATTCAGAGACTTTTGCTTTGCTTTCCAACTTGTATCCCTACATTCTCACAACAGCCTTCTTACCTCGGGTGAGAGTCATGAGCACCTTACCAGGCAGGGAGCTTCCCCAGGATAGTGTGGTGGAGTCAGGACTCACTCCATCCTGCACTTTACCCACAGGACACCTGGAGGGTCCCCCAGCCCTGCTTGCTTTTGTGAACGTCGTGTGAGTACACCGAGGTGTTGCAGCTTTCCTTCCCTCTAGCTCAGGAGGCCTGGCCTGAGCCAGGTTGGAGCTTAAATTGCTGTTGGCTCCTGCCTGGTGGAACAAGGGGGTCATAGAAACCAGGGCTGATGGGCACCCCCCAGCCCCTGGGAGCTCTGCTCATGACCGCTCACAGGGTACCGAGTCTTTGCCTTTTGTGTGTGCGCATGCTGCCCTCTTAACTGCTTTTAGTATTCAGAAAGGTTCCATTTATGTTTTACTCCTGAAAGTGAAACCCTCTTAGGCAACTTGTTTCATATTCTGGGCATTTTAGTAGCTACAGTATTTTGCATTTAAAATGTAATTACTCTTAGTATTGTACAGCCCTATAATGTATGAGAACTAGTTTCACATCCTTTGAAACTAATCTCTTTCATTGGGGAGGATACAACTTTTGACTTTACACAGGTGGACTTTGAATCCATTTTTATAGAATTTTTTTCCACTGTAACTTGACCTATATTATGCAAGAAAATCCCAAAAATATGTTTTAAGGGAGACTACACAGACCTTGTGATTTGGTCTGAGCTAGTTGCTGAGTTGACTGGAGCCTTATTTGAATGGATCTTTGAGTTGAGATCTTCACACTGTCAGTGAGCCCTTGGCTCAGCCCTTGTCACCTGTTTGTATGGGGACCATGTTTCCCAAAGCTCAGGTTCATCTCCACTATTGACAGAGTCGGGTAGTGGGAGAGTATAAGTGACTTGAGACAGAGTGTCCTTGCTCAGAAAACTGTGAAGCAGGGGTCTTGTTAGTTACAAAGCCAGTCCTAGTTGCATGTCCAAGGGGGTAGATTTTCATCACCCTACTAAATGTGGTATGTCACTGCTGAAGCCTTTTCCTGTTTTAGTAATATCTTAGGCACTATTGTCTTTTGTCTTCCAGAGTAACATATCTGGGCCCACCTTTCTTGCACACTGTGATTATGTGCTAAGAAAAGGGTGGAGTTGGGAGGACAATTTCACTTGAACAGGTTTCTGTTCTTCTGAGGTCAGGGTGGGGAGGATGTCCAGGTGACTTTTATGGACACATTGCAAGACAGTAAGCCGCGGATGGACTCTCACTTGTGCTTTGGAACACTGGACTCCAAAGAGCAGGTGGAACAAACTCTGGCCTGAAGATGATGGCTAATACTCAGGCAGAGCCCCGTATTCTTCCCTGACTTGGTCAAAACAAACTTCCTTTTCCCTTGATCACCCTGCACGCAGCTGCCCAGCTTCCAGTTTTTAAAGAGATGAACAGCTCTCACTTCCTGACTCAGTTTCTCTTGTTGGGTGGGGGCCTTGTGCCACAACCTGCATGGGGTGCTAGGGTTTAAACCAAGTGGTCACGAAGGATTCTTATCTCAGGGCTCTGCCTGGCCCACCTTCTCTTGGGCCTGGACTCTCCTTATCCACATCCCTGCAGAAGGTGGGCCCTATTCTCAGAAGAGTCCTGGCTGCTGTTGCCATCTGAATGCGCCCTTCCCTTTCAGGTTGACCAGCAGTGGCCTTACCTGGCCTCTCAGGTGGATGGAGGCTGTTCTCATCTGGGGCTGTCTCTTGATTAAGGCTGTCACCTGTTTGTATAGGGACCATGTTTCCCAACGCACTTTGAGTGCAGTTTAGGAGGTATCCTTTGGATGCTGAAGTGTTGGGATTTTGAGGACATGCGGATGATTTATGAGAATAGAGGGGCAGAGTTTGTGAAGTCTAGGGTTTTTTGTCCAGTGGGTTTCAAATTTGTTGGCTGTTTAAAGACCCTGTCTCCTCCCCCACCCTCCCCTTCCTTTTCCCATCAAATGCCTACCTACTGAGGCGCCTTCTCTTTTTATTCTTGAGCCAATGAGATATCAGTGTGTTTATTAATAAGGATTGCAATAGTATAGTGCTTAATATGTGCCAGGCATAGTGCTAAGGGTTTACATACGTTATCCCTTTTAATCCAGAAAACAGCCTTTGATTAGGTATTGTTGTCTCCATTTTATAGATGAGGAAACTGAGGCAGTATGACTGAGGCCGAGAGCAGTGGTTAAGACAGACTTTGGGATCAAATCACCCTAGGTGCGGGCAGGTTTCTAGGCTGCTCTAAGCTTCTACCTTGAAGGCAGTTGGGTCTGATAATAGTACCTTCTTCCTGGGGTGGTTGTGAGGATATAACGAGGTAATGCATGTAAGCATTTAGTACCATGCCTGGCACATAGTAAGCACTCAATAAATGGTAGTTACTTTTGTTGAGCTCAGCTGGTAGTTTGACCTCCGTTGGTGCAATGCCAGAGATGGGATTGTCAGCCACCACACTGCCACCACCCTGCACACAGTCTGGGTCCCTCCGAGAGAAGCACGCCAACCTTAACATCCCCTACAGCATCTTGGTGCTTCACACACCATTTAGGAGGCCACCCTAACGAGGCAAGAGGACATGGGGGTGTGCAGAAGTTCTGTTCTTAGTGAGAATGGCTGGCCTGAGAATCCAGCTCACCTCCTCTGCCCACAGTCTGGACTGCTTGTGGGAAGGCCATCTCCTCCTGTCTGGTGGTACCTCCACTCTGGGCAGGGAGGGCCTGTCTGTGACTCGCTCTGGACCCCACTTCCCGCTCTGGCCAAGGGCTGTCTTCTGTGCACATAGCTCAGGAGCCTGCAGCAGTTCCCTGTATGGGTGGATGTCCTCAGGGGCCAAGAAGAGAAGAATGGGGACAACAGAAACCTGCTTTGTAGGGGATTATGTAGACTAAAAGCCTAGAAGTTCTGCCCACATCCTTATGACGCAGCCAATCTGGAGCTTCATGTTTCCTTCTAAAAGTAGTAACCGGGTAGAAGTGGGTGACCCATTGAGGACACATGATGTGAGGTATTTCTGCCGGATTCTAGGTTAGCAAAGACTCAAATGGGTGACTCATGAATGAAGGGAGAACAGGCACAGGACTTAATGAAAAGAGTTTCTTGAACTTAGTTTTCTGAATGGGGGTGGGGAGTTGGGGCACGTGTGTGTAAGGGGAGGCTGCCTCACTTTGAAGGAATGGTGTTGGCTAACAGGATCCATGAAATTCCTAGGTCAGTTGAATAATAACTGAACTACTGGTTTGACTGTGGATTATTTCCTGGGTATTAGTGGGACCCAACAGCACATTGCTATTAATAGTATGGAAATAATGGTCCCTCTGTTTCATTGAATTGCTGAAGTAATGATAATGCCATGAACCAGGAGAAGATGGTTGTGGGGGTTTCTAGGAAGCAGCTGCTGTGACAGGCCAATCCCAGGCTTGCCCCCGAGCCCTCCTGTCCTTCTGGGTTTGTGTTTGCCTTGCCTGGTGCTTCCTCCCTCATTGTGTTGTTGAATAGACCTAGGCAGCCTTGTATCCATAGAAAGCCTCCACTGCTGGGCCGGGGAGGGGGTTGTGGTAAGGGCCCTCTGGAAATCAAGCAGAGAATGCCTTTGCAGTGGTCTCCCGGGCATTGGGCAGGGCCTAGCCTTTTGCAGCCCCCAGAGGACCTTGCCTGCATAAAGCACTCAGAAGGGTTAGCCACCTGGTGATTTTGTCTCTAGTGAAACTGTGTTTGCCGATAATCATCCACATAGCCACCTCTGTCCTCGCAGTTTGGATGCCTTTTTTTGACACCTGCGCTAGGTTCTTGTATGCTGGCTTTTCTTAAAGGAACAGCAGAGTAGAAAAGAGGTTGAGAATGTTTTCTAGCAGGCAGAATGTGCATACATGTTTTCATGAGTGTCCTTTGGGTGCTGTTTCTTTTAAATCCTCTGTGCACAGGGCTCTGGCCTTTAGTAAACTGTTTTTCTGTCTTACGTCATGCTGACTGGGTGCTAGGGGCTGATTACAAAGGGGAAGAGTTGAACAGACATCAGGGGCCGATGAAACCAAAGGACTAGGAGTCAGGAGAACAAGTCAGGGATTAGGAGACAGCGGTTTGGTTTATTGTTATCCAGCTGGAGGACTCCTAGGGGCAGCAGCAGGAGGAATACCAGGGCCACGGAGGGGCCAGGAGTCTCACAGTGGAGGGCAGACTCTAACAGATGCCAGCTGAACGCTCGCTGGCCCTGGATGTCATACGAGTTGGGGACCAGAAATCTGGGCTCAGAGAACCCGTCCAGGGAGATTTGAAGCCATGGGTTATCTTCTAGAGTTGATACTGATAATATATTTTAATTTTTATTGATGTTTAATACCTTCTGAAACAGGAGGGTAAGATCAGATGGGAAGCCCCTCTGTTGAAGGATCTTGGGAACCTTGGTGGTTTTTTTTTTTTTTTTGGTTTTTTTTTTTTGATCGAGCTGTGGACATCCTTCTTAATTCGATTCTGAGGATTTGTTTAACTAAAAAGTTCCCAAACACAGAAAGGGCCTCCCCACCTGCTTTGGGGAGCTGTCTGTGCTGGGAGTGCCAGGCATCCCATGGGACCCATCACTGCCAGTGTCTGTGCCTCCCAGAGGTCAGCCGTGTCTGCCCTGGCTCTGTCTCCTCTGTGACAGGGCAGAGCATTTCTGGTCAGTTTCTCCATGGTGCCTCCCACCCCTTTGTAAAGTGGATGGACATGATGGAATTCAGTTGTCTCACCCTGATAGCCTGGGTGTTGATATTCACTTTACCCGCACTCAGACACAGGCGACCTTGAAGCAGTTCTCGGTGTGTAGAGTCCACGTGACAGTCCCCACAGCCTCCCCAGATAGCTGTGTGCCTGTGCGCTACTGCTGTGCCATTTTCCCAACTTGGCGTTTCACTAAATGCAGCTGATCTCTCTCTCTGTGCACTCGTGATCCATGTTGAACAATACATGTAGGTTCTTTTTCCACGCAATGTAAGAACATGATATACTGTACGTTGGAAAGCATTTACCTTATTTATATACCTGAATGTTCCTACTACACAAATAAACATATATTAAATTCTAGATCATGTGTGGTTTTCGATGGTGGGGGTGGCGGAAGGCCAGGGGTGTGGACGTTTGGTTGCTTATGTGGAGCCAGCATTATTTCCCAGGATGCTGCTGACCACCGCTTGCTTCTAGAGACTCCCTCTGTCCTTGGCCTTGGCAACCTGCCCCCCCGGCTTTCCTCCTGCCCTTGGTTGCTCCTCCTCGGTCTTCTTTCTGGGTGTCTCTTTTCTGGGCCATCCCTTGGGTGGTGGCATTCTGCCTGAGGCTCTCTTTCGCCCACTGAATTCTCCCCTCTAGGTGTTCCCACCCCCTCCCAGGATCCTGATCACCACACTCATTTCAACACTTCCCAAGTCCATGTCTCTAGCCCAAGTGGGCCTGCATTTCCAGCTGCCTGTGAGGCCTCTCACACAGACTTTGCATGATAAAACCCAAACCTATGACCCATGTCCTGAGTCCTGTGTTCTCTAACTACCCATGTGTTCTGTCACACAAGCCAGTAACTGGAGTGATCTCATCAGTCACCCAAGCCTGCCCGTTCTGCCTTCCAAACATCCTCGGAATCATCCTTACTGCCAGCCTTCTGGGCCAGGCCCCATCTCCTGCCAGGATTTCTAAGGCAGCCTCTAGCCCTCTCCCTACAGCCTGGCCACCTCTCTAATCCATTTCTTGCATGATAGCTGGGATGAGCTCTCTGCTTGGAACCCTTTGGGTCTTGAGGTTAAAGTTCAGACTTGGTAACGAGGCTTCTGGGGCCATCTGTGAGCTGGCCAGTGCCTGACCCACGCATTCGGGCCCTGCCTTCACAGCCACAGCTGCCGCTTGTCCTTCCTTGTTCCAGGTGTGCGCCTGTCCCGGGCCCTGGCGTGGGCCCTCTGCCCAGTTTTTTTCCTTTCCCAGCTCTTCGTCAGCCTGCCTAACTCCTCTTTTCCTAGCAGTTCTCACCGTCAACAGCACTTCCTTGGGGAGGCCTTATGTTGTCTCCTCACTGTGTGTCTCCTGCCCCAGGACAGAAGGGTCTGAACTCCTGGGAGCCAGCAGGCCAGCCTTACCAGGGCAAATGTCTGAGGCCAGTGGGACCTCTAGATTGATTACCTTTTGGACAGGGGCCTCTGCCATTTTCACCCATAGGAAAGCTACTACCATTGGAATTTCCTCAGTGAATTGCTCGCCAACATTCAAGATGCAGAAAAACCCACTGCATTCACTTACTTTCCTAAACCCCACAAAATCTGACTGCAAGCCACCAGTTTCCAAGACTGATGGGAAAACCAACATGAGTCGTTTTCCCTGGCTGCTTTGCTCCCTTTTGTTGCACCAGGAGCCGAGGGCTCACATGTTGCTGAAGTGGTGAGGGTCCCTGGGCTCAACTCCATCTGCTGAAGGCTCTGTTGTCCAGCCCTGTGAAGTCCATAGGAGGCCCTAGGCCAGTGGCGTCAGAGCACCTGTGCAGTTGCCTGCATCTGGCATCCTTCCATATCCAGAGCCCCCCGCACACTGGTCTTGATGATTTCTTTTTTCTCCTCTCTCCTTTCTTTCTTTTTTTTTTTATTATTATACTTTAAGGTACATGTGCACAACGTGCAGGTTTGTTACATATGTATACATGTGCCATGTTGGTGTGCTGCACCCATTAACTCATCATTTAACATTAGGTGTATCTCCTAATGCTTTCCCTCCCCCCTCCCCCACCCCACAACAGGCCCCGGTGTGTGATGTTCCCCTTCCTGTGTCCAAGTGTTCTCATTGTTCAATTCTTACCTGCGTGAGAACATGCGGTGTTTGGTTTTTTGTTCTTGCGATAGTTTGCTGAGAATGATGGTTTCCAGCTTCATCCATGTCCCTACAAAGGACATGAACTCATCCTTTTTTATGGCTGCGTGGTATTCCACGGTGTATATGTGCCACATTTTCTTAATCCAGTCTATCATTGTTGGACATTTGGGTTGGTTCCAAGTCTTTGCTATTGTGAATAGTGCCGCAATAAACATACGTGTGCATGTGTCTTTATAGCAGCATGTTTTATAATCCTTTGGGTATATACCCAGTAATGGGATGGCTGGGTCAAATGGTATTTCTAGTTCTAGATCCCTGAGGAATCGCCACACTGACTTCCACAATGGTTGAACTAGTTACAGTCCCACCAACAGTGTAAAAGTGTTCCTATTTCTCCACATCCTCTCCAGGATCTGTTGTTTCCTGACATTTTAATGATCGCCATTCTAACTGGTGTGAGATGGTATCTCATTGTGGTTTTGATTTGCATTTCTCTGATGGCCAGTGATAATGAGCATTTTTTCATGTGTCTTTTGGCTGCATAAATGTCTTCTTTTGAGAAGTGTCTGTTCATATCCTTCGCCCACTTTTTGATGGGGTTGTTTGTTTTTTTCTTGTAAATTTGTTTGAGTTCATTGTAGATTCTGGATATTAGCCCTTTGTCAGATGAGTAGATTGCAGAATTTTTCTCCTATTCTGTAGGTTGCCTGTTCACTCTGATGGTAGTTTATTTTGCTGTGCAGAAGCTCTTTAGTTTAATTAGATCCTATTTGTCAATTTTGGCTTTTGTTGCCATTGCTTTTGGTGTTTTAGACATGAAGTCCTTGCCCGTGCCTATGTCCTGAATGGTATTGCCTAGGTTAGACACAACAAAAAAGAGAATTTTAGACCAATATCCCTGATGAACATCGATGCAAAAATCCTCAATAAAATACTGGCAAACCGAATCCAGCAGCACATCAAAAAGCTTATCCACCATGATCAAGTGGGCTTCATCCCTGGGATGCAAGGCTCATTCAACATACGCAAATCAATAAATGTAATCCAGTATATAAACAGAACCAACGAAAAAAACCATATGATTATCTCAATAGATGCAGAAAAGGCCTTTGACAAAATTCAACAATGCTTCATGCTAAAAACGCTCAATAAATTAGGTATTGATGGGATGTACCTCAAAATAATAAGAGCTATCTATGACAAACCCACAGCCAGTATCATACTGAATGGGCAAAAACTGGAAGCATTCCCTTTGAAAACTGGCACAAGACAGGGATGCCCTCTCTCACCACTCCTATTCAACATAGTGTTGGAAGTTCTGGCCAGGGCAATCAGGCAGGAGAAAGAAATAAAGGGTATTCAGTTGAGAAAAGAGGAAGTCAAATTGTCCCTCTTTGCAGATGACATGATTGTGTATCTAGAAAACCCCATCGTCTCAGCCCAAAATCTCCTTAAGCTGATAGGCAACTTCAGCAAAGTCTCAGGATACAAAATCAATGTGCAAAAATCACAAGCATTCTTATACACCAATAACAGACAAACAGCCAAATCATGAGTGAACTCCCATTCACAATTGCTTCAAAGAGAATAAAATACCTAGGAATCCAACTTACAAGGGACGTGAAGGACCTCTTCAAAGAGAACTACAAACCACTGCTCAATGAAATTAAAGAGGATACAAACAAATGGAAGAACATTCCATGCTCATGGGTAGGAAGAATCAATATGGTGAAAATGGCCATACTGCCCAAGGTAATTTACAGATTCAATGCCATCCCCATCAAGCTACCAATGACTTTCTTCACAGAATTGGAAAAAACTACTTTGAAGTTCATATGGAACCAAAAAAGAGCCCGCATTGCCAAGTGAATCCTAAGCCAAAAGAACAAAGCTGGAGGCATCATGCTACCTGACTTCAAACTATACTACAAGGCTACAGTAACCAAAACAGCATGGTACTGGTACCAAAACAGAGATATAGACCAATGGAACAGAACAGAGCCCTCAGAAATAATGCTGCATATCTGCAACTATCTGATCTTTGACAAACCTGAGAAAAACAAGCAATGGGGAAAGGATTCCCTATTTAATAAATGGTGCTGGGAAAACTGGCTAGCCATATGTAGAAAGCTGAAACTGGATCCCCTCCTTACACCTTATACAAAAATTAATTCAAGATGGATTAAAGACTTAAATGTTAGACCTAAAACCATAGAAACCCTAGAAGAAAACCTAGGCAATACAATTTTTTTTTTTTTTTTTTGAGACAGAGTCTCCCTCTGTTGCCCAGGGTGGAGTTCAGTGGTTGGATCTCAGCTCACTGCAACCTTCGCCTGCCAGGTTCAAGTGATTCTCCTGCCTCAGCCTCCCAAGTAGCTGGGATTACAGGCATGTGCCACCACACCCCGCTAATTTTTTTATATTTTTAGTAGAGACAGGATTTCGCCATGTTGGCCAGGCTGGTCTCAAACTCCTGACCTCAGGTGATCCACCCACCTTGGCCTCCCAAAGTGCTGGGATTACAGGCGTGAGCCGCCGCTGGCTGTGTGTTCAGCCAGCACTTGTGGAGTGCCTGCTCTGGGGTAGGCCCTGTCCAGACACTGCAACAAAAAGTCCTTGTTTCATGGAGCTCATTTTAGGGAAGAACGACAAACCTGAGAAAGGATGTTAGATGGAGAAAAATGTAGCCAGAAGGAGGGAAGAGGGATTGCTGGTAGGGAGAGGTTGCCATTTTAAATAGGGTGAACAGGGAAGGCCTCACTGCAGAGGTGGTGTTTGGGCAAATGGACACACCTCGAGGCTGTGGGGGAGGGAGCTGTTCAGGTATCTGGGGAAGTGCAAAGACACCTGTGCTGTGGAGGAACTGCAGGGTGGATGGAGCAGGGAAGTGGGGAGGAGCACTGGCAGGAAACCCAGGGGAATTACACAGGGCCAAGGCCATTGGCTTTTACTCTGAGCAAGATAAGAAGCTGTTGGGGAGTTCAGAGCCTAGGAGTGTCAAAGTGGTGTTTGTTTGCAAAGGGCTGCTATGTTGAGAACAGACTACAGTGGGCCAAGGGTGAAAGCAGGGTGATCAGAGAGGAGGCAACAGCAGCGATCCAGAAGAGAGAGAGACAGACACACACACACACAGACACACACACACAGACACACACACACACACACACACACACACACGTGGCTCAGCAGGGGATATGGGAGTGGGGCGGTGGTGAGAAATGGTCAGATTGTCAGAATCTGCAGAAGGATTAGGTATGGAGGAGAGGGACGAAGAGGAGTCAAGGAGGGCTGTGAAGTTGGCTTGGGCGGCCGGAAGGATGGTGCTGCCATTTCTAAACTGTGGACGGCTGTGGGAGGACAGGTGCAGGTGGGAGGTGGATTAGAGAGGGTCAGTCAGGAGTTTGGGTTTGGACACGCTAGGTTTGAGATGCCTGTGAGATACCCACACAGGGATGTCCAGTCCTGGGGAGTAGTCCGAGATGGAAATAGAAATTTGAGAGTGATGAGGGTGTGCGCGTTATTCTACACCAGGAGCCGGAAGACTGGATAAAATCATCGACGGAGAGGAGCTAAGGTCTGGAGATGAGCCCCTCCGTCGTTTTGGACTTGAGGATCTACTTTTTAGCTAGGGCTACTCCCTTCCCTTCAATAAGACAATCCAGCCTTCAGGCCTGGGGAAAGGCCTGGGTAGAGTTGCCTTCAGGTGGCCCCACTCCCACCTCACAGCAGAAGCAGCTATTAATTTTCTCCTGGGGCCAGAATTCTAGAGGCCTGAGTGCTCTTCCCTTGAGAAGAAAGGGCAGCTTTACCTTTTGGTCTCCTGGGAAAGGAGAGGAAGGGAAACAAAGCAAGAGTAACTTCTCTATTTGATTATTTAGAGGCCAGGCAGTCGGGGTGGGAAGTCCCAGAGATGGACTCATGGCCTGGCCATGGCGTACTCACTTACACGCCATCCAATATTTACCAAAGGACACTGCCAGTTCCCAAATCAACCAAAACTTAGGGAGTTCTCAAATGAAATAAACACCATTGTGCCATTTCCGTTAATATCACTTCTCAATTTTAACAAACTTAAACACATTTTTAGGGTAAAAAGCACATCCATCAGACTGAGTCTAGGTTCAGGGTAAATTCTGATCTGGATTTGACCAAGGGAACTGAAGTTATTCCTGCAGCAAAGATTTGACCGATGGTGGATTTGACTGAGGCAACTGAAGTTATTCCTGCAGCTAAGATGGGCTCTCTGATCTTGCCCACATGGTCTCTATTTCTCGTAGATTCCAGGAGCCTTAGAGGTAGAGCCTTTGAAGCCATTGATTCTCAAACTTGGCTGCACATTAGAATTGCCTGAGGAACCTAAAAAACTACCAGTGCCCAGGCAGTATCTCAGACCAATGAGATAAGAGTCTCTGGGGGTGGGATGCAGGCATGAGTTTTAAAAAAAGCAGTTCCCTGGACTTACTCCAAAGTGTAGCTGAGGTTGAGAAACAGTGATTGAAACTTCCTCTAGTGAGTCCAGCCCCTCTCAGAAACCCATCATAACTGGTCAGCACCCTGTGCTGGAGCATCCCCAGGGTGAGCCTCAGGATGTCCCGAGGTGACCCTTCTGGGGTAGGTAATGTTGCTGTTCCATCCAGTGCTATTATTCTACATCACAAGCTATAGGGCAGAATGGTGTGTGCCTCCCAGTGCCTTTGCCCAGGACTCCTGTCTTCTGCCTTTTTTTTTTTTTTTTGAGACAGAGTCTTGCTCTGTTACCCAGGCTGGAGTGCAGTGGCTCAATCTCAGCTCACTGCAACCTCTGCCTCCCAGGTTCAAGCAATTCTCCTGCCTCAGCCTCCTGAGTAGTTGGGATTACAGGTGCCCGCCATCACACCCAGCTAATTTTTGTATTTTTTAGTAGAGATGAGGTTTCACCATGTTGGCCAGGCTGGTCTTGAACTCCTGACCTCAGGTGATCCGCCTGCCACGGCCTCCCATAGTGCTGGGATTACGGGCCTGACCCACCATGCCCGGCCTCCTTCTGTCTTCTTACACCTCATAGACTGAATCTGATTCCTCTTTTGCATAACACATGTCTACAATGATTCTTAAGTGCCTCCTGGCCTTCCCCTTGCTGCCCAGCCTTCTCTTCCCAAGTTTTCCATCTTGTTCTTTTCACTCTTCCTCACGAGAAATGCCTCCCACTCCCTTCACTATGCTGACCAGTTCTGGATACCCACAAGCTTATCCTTTTTGGGGGTCCCCAGTCACTGCCTGTAGTTGTGCACCAGTGCATGTGTTAGAGGGGGCATTCATGGGATCCTGTGGGCACTGACGATACCCGTAGCCACTGCCCAAGAGTGAGCTTCTTCCCCGCCAGAGCCTCACGGGCCCCTAAATTCCCTGTCGACCATGGTGTTCATCAGGAAGTGGGGCCAGGAGGGAGCCCTCTGGTAATCTGTCAGTTATTAGAGAACCTCCTGAATCTGGGGAGCTGGGGTTGGTGGCTTCCTGAAGTTGTAATTATTTAACTTTGTATTTTGAATAGTTTTAGACTTACAGAAAAGTTGTAAGAATAGTATAAAGAATTTCCTACATCCTTCACCCAAATTTTCCAAATGTTAACATTTTGGCACATTTGTTTATGTTCTCACTCCACACACACACTTTTTTTTCTTAATTATTTGTAAGTCGTAGACATGCCCCTTTACTGTTATATAACCTTATTCAGATTTCACCAGTTACCCCAATAGTGTCCATAATAGCAAAGAATATTAATAATATGTTTTTGACTGGTGCAATCTGAGGAGCTCTGCAGGAGCTTTGAGAACAAGAAATACTCTTCCTGGCCACCCCTTCCTTTCTGTGATAGAGACGCCTGGGGCTGCTGCTGTAGCATAGTGAGGCAGCATAGTGAGGCAGTGCTGTCACGGGCCCAGCAGAGGGCAGTAGTAGTTTAGGAGTGAGGCACAGGCAGGGCTTAGAAGTGAGACATCCTTATCCGCAGAGGATCCTAGCGCAGCATTCACTAGCTTTGTAATCTGGAACAAAACCCTTAACAACTCAGCTTCCCCCTCTATAAAATAAGGGTAATTGAGAAAATTTGCAAAGCACGTGTCTACTCCTAGCATCTAGTAATCATCCAACAGAAAGTTTTATTTGCACTATTTTAAACTTTTATTTGTAATGTTACCACCTTGGCTGAGAAGTGAATTTCTCAGGGATGCCGGGGAAGAAGCAGAGAAATGTTCCAGCAAAGGCAGAGGCAGGGCGGGACATTGAGGCTAGGGGCACAGAGAGGGAAGGGAGTTCTTGGGAATGAAGGGGAGGGGAATGAAGTGGTAGCCGTGGCTGACCTTGCATTGAACCCACCCAGGCCAGCTCGAACTGAAATTCACACTGGAATGCTGACTATTTCATGGCATTGTCCAGGTGCTAGAACCTCCTCCACAGCCATCCTTACCAAATCCATAAAGGAGGAATGGCTTGTCTTCTTTTCCATTTGGGCTGGGGAAGTGCCTGAGTTCGATTCCTGACTCCATCCCTTAGTGTCTGTGTGGCCTTGGGCAAGTTATTTAACCTTTCTGCGCTTCAGTCTCCTTGTCTGTAAAACAGGAGATAATACCATTTATACTATACGGGGATTATACTCACCCCCGGATCATTGTGAGGATTAAATACATTAATACTTTCAAAGAGCTTAGACTAGCTTCTGGCACACAGTGAGTTTTCATAAATATTACTGTTATTATTTCAGTGTCTCCTCCCACTGGCACCCTGTTTTCTTCCTGATCTGAGTGCTTGGCCTTATCCTTTTCCTTTTTTTTTTTTGAGACGGAGTTTCACTCTATCGCCCAGGCTGGAGTGCAGTGGCACTACCTTGGCTCACTGCAACCTCCTCCTCCTGGATTCAAGCGGTGCCTCAACCTCACGAGTAGTTGGGATTATAGGCACTGCCACCACACCCAGCTAATTTTCGTATTTTTAGTAGAGACAGGGTTTTGCCGTGTCGGCTAGGCCAGTCTTGAACCCCCGACCTCAAGTGATCTGCCCATCTCGGCTTCCCAACATATTAGGATTACAGGCATGAGCCAGCGTGCCCGGTCGCTTGGCTTTTTCATGTCACCCCCGAGGTGGCCCCATTCTGGGTGGGGGAGTTACTCTTGGGTTTGGGTCTCCCTGCCCCTGAACATAGCTGTTGCACAAGTAGCTGCTCACACTGAACTCTACAGAGCCATCAGTCAACCTTGAGGGATTGTTATCTGACCAAAGACTTTCTATCTGTCCATTATTTATTGCTGCAAACATACCGGAAAGCAAGGAAGCCATAAAAAGCAAACAGTAGGGTCATGTCAAAATGAGGCAGAGCCAGCAAGAAGAGGCTCCTAAACATGGGACATTTTGAACATCAGTAAGGGTAATAACTGCAGTTGATGGAAACACATTGATTATATTTAAGTACATGAATTCATAATAATACCTAAATTCATGTTATCAGTATTGGAGGATGTGGGCAAACCAACTCTATTTATAAAACTAGTTAATGAAAGGAAAGAAGCATGTTTCCTGCCTTTTCTAAATAAACTGTACCATTGGTGTTAAATATCTGGTTTCTAAAAAATGTTATTTTAATATATAGAGATAGGATCTTGCTATGTTGGCCAGGCTAGTCTCAGATTCCTGGCCTCAAGCAGTCCTCCTGCCTTGGCCTCCCAAAATGCTGGGATTACAGGCATGAGTCAGTGTGCCCAACCAGTCATTTCAATAAATGTGCTGGATCAATTGTATATTCATGTGAAAAATTACCTCACATCATAACAACAACAACAACAAAAATCCAGATGGATTTTTAAATCCATCTAAATGTGAAAGGTAAAGCAATAAAGCTTTTGAAGAAAACATAGGAGACCACCTTCATGACCTCAGAGTAGGCAAAGATTTCTTAAACACGACACAAAAAGGCTCACTATAAAAGAAAAAAATTGATAAATTAGACTAAAGGGCCACTGTATTAGATACCTTGAGTGATTGCAAAACCTGGTTCTTGTCCTTATGAAGTTCATAATAAAGCCGATTGTTTTCTTTTTCTTTCTTTTTTTGTTAAGAGCAGAGTTTTAAAAGCTGGCTGTCCTCCCTGTTCTGCTCTCCCTAGGTGGTAGACTACCTACCCCTCAGGCATCCTGCTGTTAATTCGCTGAGTTCCCAGAGAGCAGGGCTCCCCAACAAATAGCTGATCTTTCTCCCTTGCCTGGCCTAGATCGGCCTCTGTTTAGAGAGGTGGTTTGGTGGTTGAAGAATGAGAACAGGGTGGGAGGGGGACAAACAGGCCTCTTCTGTGTCATTGACAGCTGATTTTTGTTTGTCAGCGTGCTAAGGTTGTGAAGTTGCCAATCCGTGATGATTAAGATTCTGTTGGGGTCCTTTGGAGAGGAGAGAGGTGGTGGCTTCTGAGAACATAACCAGAAGGCTTTTAGGGAAATGGAAAAGTCATAGTACGGAGCTTCAGCCTAGTCATTCACTGAGCTCAGAAGTGCTCCTCCTCACCCCTCCTCTCCCTTCCTTTTCCTTTCTTTACTAGCTGGGATTGTTCTTTCATTTATTCATAAAAATAAGGTACAAAAACAAATAATGCCTTGCCGTTGTTATTAAGAGAGACATTTAAAATGGATCATTGAAATACTATGTGGGAAGGCTTATTCATAGTTAATTATTAATGACACTTATCAAAGCTTGTCCTGGACCAAGTATTGTGACTGTCTCTTTATTTGCACCATTTCATTTCATCGTCATAGCATCCTTATGAGCTAAATATTATTCTACGTATTTAATAGGTTATGCTATTGAGGCTTATAAAGATTTAGCAACTTGGTCAACTATATTGTTAAGGGTCTCAAGACAATCCTCTTTACAGGTCCAAGCCCATCAATCAAATGTCATTTGGCAATAACTCTTTCTTATTTTGTTATCAATGTGTCACCCAAATTATTTGGAGCCTGAGGCCTTAATTAAAAATCTGGCTGGTGTGATTATAATGTGGCTGAGTGCTGATGCCAAATTTAAAGTCAGAGTGTGATTTTTTTAAGCTATGTATTTCAGAAGGATTGATGGTGGCTACTTGCCTTGTGCTCCAGAGCAGCACCCCCTTGATGGCAAGCCACTCCAAGAATGTTTAGGGCCGTAGCTGGCTGGTCCCCAATAGAGAAAACCCAATGGCTGTGTTTCTGGAGCGACCCAAGGCACAGGATACAAACCTGTCCATGCCACAATTATTGCATCTACTAGGACGCACTGATTAAAATTCTGTTTTCCCCTGAGAAGACATTTATTTCTCAATAAATTCAGGAAACCATTTGACAACATCCAGTACTCTTTAATGATAAGAACACTCAACACGCTGGAAAGAGAAGGGAACTTCCTCAACCTCATAAAGGATATTTATATAAAAGCCACAGCAAATGTCATACTTAATGGTGACTGACTGCTTTTGCTCTAAGACTAGGAACAAGAGAAGGATGTCTACTTTCACTGCTTCTATTCAACATTGTACTGAAGGTTCTAACTAGAGGAATCAGGGAAGAAAAAAAATCATAAGTCATCTAGATAAAAGGAAGAAGTAAACCCATTTGTATTTGCAGATGACATGAACTTGTATATAGAAAGCCCTAAGAAATCCACTAAACAGCTATTAGAACTAATAAACAAGTTCAGCAAGGTTGCAGGATACAAGATCAATATACAAAGTCAATTGAATTTCTATGCATCAGCAGTGAACTATGTGAAAGGTAATCCAGAAAACCATCTCATTTACAGTAGCATCAGGAAGAATAAAATACTTAGGAATAAACTAAACCAAGGGGGTAAAAGACTTGTCCACTGAAAATGGCAAAACATTAATGAAACAAATTAAAGAATACATTCATAAATGAAAAGACATTTTGTGTTCATGGATTAGAACACAATACTGTTGAGATGTCCATACAACCCAAAGCAATCTATAGAGTCAATGCAATTCCTATCAAAATCACAAAGACTTTTTTTTTTTAAATACAGATTTTATTTATTTATTTTAAATTTACTGAGACAAGATCTTGCTGTGTCGCCCAGGCTGGAGCGCAGTGGTGCCGTCCCAGCTCACTGCAGCCTCGAACTCCTGGGCTCAAGCAATCCTTTCACCTCAGCCTCCCCAGTAGCTGGGACTACATGCACATGACACCACACCTGGCTAACACAATAGCATTTTTTAAAAAACAGAAATAGAAAAAAACAATCCTAAAATTCATATGGAACCACAGGAGACCCCCAGTAGCCAAGCCAATTTTGAGAAAGAAGAACAAAGCTGGAGGCATCATACTTCCTGATTTCAAAATATGAATATATTACAAAGCTACAGTAATTAAAGCAGTGTGATGGAATAAAAACAGACATGTAGACAAATAGAACAGAATAGATAGCCTAGAAATAAACCCACACACATATGCACATATGGTCAACTGATCTTCAAAAAGAGTACCCAGAATACACAACGGGGAAAGGATAGTCTCTTCAACAAATGATGTTGGGGAAACTGGCTATCCACATGCAAAATAATAAAACAATTTTTTTTTTTTTTGAGATGGAGTCTTGTTCTGTTGCCCAGGCTGGAGTGCAGTGGCACAATCTCACCTTGCTGCAATCTCCAACCTCCCTGGTTCAAGTGATTCTTATGCCTCAGCCTCCTGAGTAGCTGGAATTGCAGGCATGCACCACCCCGCCTGGCTAATTTTCGTATTTTTAGTAGAGACGGGGTTTTGCCATTTTGGCCAGGAGGGTCTCAAACTCCTGGCCTCAAGTGATCCAACCACCTTGGCCTCCTAAAGTACTGGGATTACAGGCATGAGTGACCGCGCCCAGCCTGAAATTGGATCTTATATACAAAAATGAACTCAAAATAGATTAAAGATTTAAGCGTAAGACCCGAAACTGTACAACTTCCCTGAGAATACATAGAGGGAAAGCTTCATGACACTGGATTTCACAATGATTTCTTGGACGGGGAATCAGAAGCATAAGCAACAAAAGTGAAAGATGGCTGGGCATGGTGGCTCACGTAGGTAATCCCAGCACTTTGGGAGGCTGAGGAGGACAGATCACTTGAGGTCAGGAGTTCGAGACCAGCCTGGCCAACATGGTGAAACCCTGTTCCTACTAAAAACGCAAAAATTAGCCAGGCGTGGTGTTGTGCGCCTATGGTCCCAGCTACTAGGGAGGCTGAGGCAGGAGAATCACTTGAACCCGGGAGTTGGAGGTTGCAGTGAGCCGAGATCACACCACTGCACTCCAGCCTGGGTGACAGAGTGAGACTCCATCTCAAAAAAAAAAAAAAAAAAAAGTAAAAGACAAGTTGAATCACATCAAATTAATTTCAATTAAAATTTAATTGAAGTCCTGCTCCATCTAAGGAGTCAGGGAGTAGGATGTTAATCTGCCAACTGCAAATCTTCATTGATTGAGGGCTGTTCCTTGGGGCATTTCTTCCTCAGCACTTCTGGTCTGCTGTGTGTTCAGCTGAGAGGAAGTGCCAAGGCAGAGTCAAAGGTTATTACAGTAAGAAGCTGCTAGTGGCCAGTACATGTAAAGGGAATTGACAGCATCTGCCCCTATTGTCCAGTATGGTAGCCACCAGTTGCATGTTGTTGCTGAGTACTTGAAATTTGGCCAGTTGGAGCTGAGATATGCTATGAGCATAAAATACATCAATAATTTTGAAGACAGTAGACAGAATAAAGAATGTAAAATATCTCACTAATAATTTTTAATATTGATTGCAATGATAATATTGGTTGCAGTGATATTTCAGATATAATGTGTTAAAATTATATAAGCTAAATTTACCTGTTTCTTTTTACTTTTTATTTTATATAATAATTTCTTCTTTTGAGATGGGGTCTCACTTTCTGCCTAGGCTGGAGTGCAGTGGTGCGATCATGGCTCACTGCAGCCTTGACCTCCTGGGCTCAGGTGATCCTTCCACTCAGCCTCTTGAATAGCTGGGACTACAGGCGTGTGCCACCATGCCTGGCTAATTTTTAAGGCTTGTAGAGACAAGCTTTTGCCATATTGCTTAGGCTGGTTTTGAACTCCTGGCCTCAAGTGATCCTCCCTCCCCACCCCCTCTCACCTCAGCCTCCCATAGCTATGGGATTACAAGCTTGAGCCCCTGCAACTGGCCTCGTTTTACTTTGTAAATGTGGTTACTACAAAATTTAAAATTACGTCTGTAATTTAGCTGCATTGGTAGCTTGTATTATATTTCCTTTGGTTATTGTGTGCTCCACTCTTACCTCATACTAGGAAGTTAGGACTTAGGTTATAGCCCCAGCGTCTGACAGCTGATAAGAAGTGGAATCAAGGTTCAAGCTGAGTCCAGAGCCCACACACTGAACTGCTGGACATGCAGGACAGCATGGCAGTACTTTGGACATGCCCATTGCTTCTGCCACTGGTTTTCACTGAAGAAACCTCCCCCAGTGGCCTCTAGGCTCTGAGAACTTTGAACCTCATGCAGCAGCTGTTGCAACCTTAGGCATGGGAAATGACATCCTTAGATGCCCTTCCTGATGGGCAGCTGGTGAGTCTTCTTCCAGCTATTTTAGTGAGGTGGGTAGCAGTGCATGGGGTTGCTGAGGCACGCACCCTCGGAACATATTGGTGTCTCTCCCTAATGGGGCAGCCTACTCTGTACATGTCAGAAAAGGTGCCTGTGAAGCTGGCAATGTGAGCTTATATGATCCTGGCCATGTTGGCCACAGGTAGGATTAGCCATTGGCAAAAAGCCAGGTTGGCCAAGTTTATTTCTGGTGCCTTCTCACTTCCACACCCTTTTGTCATTGCCTCCTGTGCAGTCTTCAGGGTCCTGGAATTTCTATTTATCTTCTACACATCTATGGGGATTTTCTAACACATCCAGGACACATCCCGGCCTCTGTGTCCATGCCAGGTTCCTCCATGCCATCCGGGGCCCCGGCCACTGCCATGATGACTCTGTCTGTTTCTGTCTTATGTAAAAGAAGTCCCAAGGTTGAGTGCTGTGATTTTGGTGCTACAAAATTATCAGAAGCCCAAGCTCCTTCCAGCTTTTGGTTCTGGGGTGTGGCCTTTGATTTTGTGGTCCAAGGTGGCTGCAGGAGCGCTTGTTATCACATCTACATTCCAGGCAGCAGGGAAAGAAAGGGAAGAGGAAATATCTACTAAATCCCCTTTTAGATTTCCCAGAAGTCCCAGCAACATGTCTGCTTATAATCCATTGGCCAGAATTGAGCCAAATGCAAACTCTAGAACAAGGGTTGTAGGGAGGGGCTAGGAAAGCAGCCTTTATTCTGGCCATCAATGTGCTGAAATGAAAGAGCTCTGTTACTAAGGAAAAAGGGAAGAATGGTTATTGAGAGGCAACTGTTGTTCTCTATCACAGTCATACACCACTTTGGGGAGACTGGTGTGAAAGCACAATGGGGTCTTGATAAATGCTATGGACACATTTCATCATTAACAGGCAGCATGAGTTGCCAGTCTCCTTTCAGGCTGCTTTCACCAGCAGAACAAACCTTTGTGGCCAAATTCTTGCCTTTGATACCTCTGCTTCCAAGAAATGATGTGGTGTGCACATGTTCTCACTTGTAAGTGGGAGCTGAACAATGAGAACACATGGACACAGGGAGGGGAACAACACACACTGGGGCCTGTCCAAGGGATTGGAGGGGAGGGAGAGCATCAGCTTAAATAGCTAATGCATGTGGGGCTTAATACCTAGGTGATGGGTTGATAAGTGCAACAAACCACCATGGCACACGTTTACCTACATAACAAACCTGTACGTCCTGCACCTGTATCCTGGAACTTAAAATCAAATAAATTTTTTTTAAAAAAAGGTAGTGTGTGTGTGTGTGTGTGTGTGTGTGTGTGTGTGTGTGTGTGTATGCCTGCATGAGGCGGCAGGGGGCGGGGGGAGGGGGCGGTGAGGAGGAGAGACAGAGTCCAACTTCCCCGTTGCCTTCCTGAAGGTATGAGCAGCTCATCCTCTCATCCTCCCTGTCTGTCCCTAGGAAGCCACAGCAAGTTTTTGCTGATGCTTTAGGGATAGGGATTTGAGTCCTCTTAGAAACAAATAGAACCAGTGAGCACTTCATGCCATTTCTGCTACAACATCTTTGCTAAAGACATTATTGTTATTTAAAAAATAAATTAAGATTCCTGGACTTGTATATTCAATATGGTAATCACTAAAAGGCTAAAATCCCCCTTTTACCCACAAGACAGAGGTTCCAAGGTAAGGTAGCCAGGAGTTTAGTCCACTCCTTAAAAGAGGTCACTGTGGAATGTGTTTCTGTTTGTGCAGCTATGGAATAGCTATAAGCAAGTGTGTGGCTTAGCAGTAAACCCTTTCTTTAGCCTACGGGTTCAAGGGGTGGGGGGGCTCAATTTGGAAATGAGGAATTAAGGAAAGGAACTGTCATAATCTTTCATAGAATTGTGAATTTCTGACATGGATACGTGGGCTTAACTAAATCAGGCAGCTGGGGAACTATTTCACCTCTTCTTTGTAGGTAGTGTGTTTGAGAATTTATGGATGTCTATGGGAGATACAGTAGCTGACTGGAAAATTAAACATGAACAGGCATCTCTGCAAATCCTCCTGGGGGCAGAGCTTGGGAGGGACATGAGCACACACAGGACCACTTGGTGGGACTTCGATGCTTCCAGCTCCTTTCTCCCTACTATTTGGACAATCTTGGAGTGGCAGACGATTTTGTGGAATGCCACATGGGAGCCACTGGGCATACTCCTGGGGGAAGAGAAATAGCCCCGGGTAAGACCAGGCACTCTGGGTAGGGGCAGGATTTCCAGAAGGTGCATGGGGATTCACCAGCAAAGATGAGGAGGCGGCGGCTGCATTCAGGCTGGAAACTAAGGTCAAGAACCAGGGATATGTATGGAGACCCCCTGGGAAGGACTTAAGTTCTTGGATATATTTTCCAATGGTTATGGGGAGAGTAATTACACATAACTTTAATCTCCTCTTTTGAAGGGCTTATTAAACATGTTCTCAAACATACACCCATGCAATCTTTGTAATTCCCCTTTAGATACGGCAGTGGTGACCATCAGAGTTGGCTATCGGTAACAAATTCTTACAGTTGGGGCAAGCAGAAAGGGATTTATATAGTGAATTAGGTGCTTGCAAAATCACTGGACAAACTAGAGAATCAGACTCTGATGGGGATTCACCAGCATCAAAGTCTGCCTGAGCTCTGGGAATAATTTACTGAGTGACACTGCAGAATTGGCCATCAAGAGAGCTGCCACCTCCTCCACTGTCAGGGAGCTACTGCGCATATGACTGGCTCTGGCGACAAACACCCCCTGCTGAGGAGACCAGGGCATTGCTGCCACAAATAGGCCAACTTGACCCTCATGAGGTGGGGGTTAAGGTACCAGGAACTTTCTGCACCTCTGCAGAAAGCTAAATCCTGCCAAGAGTGTGTTGGCTAGTAGAAGCAGCAGATATTGTGGAAGTGGGACTTACAGTGCAGTTGGACTACACGCATCACAGGCAGGGGAAATTGATCTTTAGCTCCCCTTTAGGGAAACAAGGGTTGAAACAGACAGGACCAGGTAAGAAGCTGGTGCAGTAACCCTGGTGCGGGGTATGGTTTCAACCAAAGCGGTCAGGCTGGAAAGGGAGGCACAGAATCCCTTGGGGTGTATTTTAGAGGCACCATTGGAGCCTGCTGATGAATTGGATGAGAGTGGTGAGAAAAAGGAATCAAGAACGAGTCTTAGCCGGGTGCGGTGGCTCATGCCCGTAATCCTAGCACTCTGGAAGACCGAGGTGGGTGGATCACTTGAGTTGAGGTCAGGAGTTCGAGACCAGCCTGGCCAACTTAGTGAAACACCGTTTCTACTAAAAATACAAAAATTAGCCAGGTATGGTGGTGCAAGCCTGTAGTCCCAGCTACTTGGGAGGCTGAGGCAAGAGAATCACTGGAACCCAGGAGACAGAGGTTGCAGTGAGCTGAGATCACACCGCTGTACTCCAGCCTGGGCAACAGAGTGAAACTCTGTCTCAAAACAAAACAAAACAAACAAGTCTTTAGCCTTGCCCAACAGTTGGACAGGATACCATTATTTCCCTGTAAGACTCTTACTGCTTAGTGTAGGGCAGAGGCTGTTACGGAGATGGGGAAGGAGTAGGAACATCACTGGGCAAAGGTCATGAGGATGTTTCGGAGGGAAGAGGACCCTTACTTCTCCATTTCTCCCTGCTTTGGAGATCAGAGCTCCTGAGAGCAGAGTCTTATTCATCTAGGAGTTGGTGACTCTGGCCAGGGCTGACTGCTTTGCTGCATTTGTTTCTGTTATCTTTGTTTTGACAGCTTCTCTTTTTCTGGCATTTTGTGGGTGTGAGCATAATTAGGTTGGCAGAAATTACAGTAGTTCTTATGCTGGGACTTGAATGTCATTTGCATATTTCAAATTCCTCTGTGAAAAATGACTTCCTGTCTATCCTGGAGTCTGAAGAACAGGACCTAAAGGAAGACGTAAAGGAGGAATCAATTTAACTAACCCAGTAAGCAGCTGGTTTGGGTTAGGCTTCAGACATCAAGACAAGAATCTGAGTGCAACTAGTGTATTTGTAGGAGCTCAGGAAGAACTTGCAGTGGAGTGGAGAGGCGACACAGATAAATTTTATTGATGAGCAGGTTGCTGGCCAGGCACAGTGGCTCACACCTGTAATGCCAGAACTTTGTGAGGTCAAGGCAGGAGGATTGCTTGAAGCCAGAAGTTTGAGCCTGAGCAACATAGGGAGACCCCATCTCTACAAACAAAAAATTAGCTGGGAATGGTGGTGTGTGCCTGTAGTCCCAGCTACTCAGGAGGCTAAGGCAGGAGGATTGCATGAGCCCAGGAGTTCAAGGCTGCTGATCTATGATCATGCCACTGTGCTCCAGCTTAGGCGACAGAGCAAGATCCTGTAATGAGCAGGTTGCTGTCAAGGGCAACTGGAGCTTAATTCCCCTGCAGAAACTTGGGAGATTATAAAGAGCACTTCTCAAAGTTGTCACCACTAAGAGATGAGGCAGGGGCACTAGATCCTGCAGCATATCCTCCCTGCTGCACCTGCAGCCAAGAACATTCCTGCAGCGAGAGATAGCTCTTAGGCAATGAGTTGGAAGCGCTTGCTGTAGGAAGCCATTGCCTGTGTGGGAATGGTGACGGCCAAGGGCATGGGGGCAGGGCACTGATGGTGCTGCTACAACTGCATAATACAAAGGATGCTGTCACTACCAGTGACAGTTCACAGTTTGAGATCCTCACAACTTAGAAACAACAGAAAAAGAACTTCTATAATGGTTCCATCTCCAAAATATTATATGAATTTCTTTCTTTTTTTTTTTTTGAGACAGAGTCTCACTCTGTTGCCCAGGCTGGAGTACAGAGGCGTAATCTTGGCTCACTGCAACTTCCACCTCCTGGGTTCAAGTGATTCTCATGACTCAGCCTCCCAAGTAACTGGGGCTACAGGCATGGGCCACCATGCACGGCTATTTTTTTTTTTTTTTTTTTTTGTATTTTTTGGTAGAGACAGGGTTTTGTCATGTTGGCCAGGCTGGTCTCAAACTCCTGGCCTCAGGTGATCCACCCGCCTTGGCCTCCCAAAGTGCTGGGATTATAGGCATGAGCCACCACAACCAGCCAAAATATATGAGTTTCATATATATATATATATATATATATATATATATATATATATATATATATATGAAATTATATATATGGCAGTGGCAGATCTTTTTCAGGAATGCATAATATGGCTAGCTTTAATTTAGTGATACTTGGCTTGTGTGGGCTCAGCCCTGCTGGATGCTCTGGTGCAGATTCCATGTTACACAAGGGGGCTAGGAGCTGGGGCCTGGGGCCATGGAGACCAAAATGTAGCCCAGCTCACCTTGTCTTGTGTCCTTCAAGGAGTCATGTCTGAAGGGTCTATCCTTTTATCATTTGGACAGAGTTGTCATACACATTAATAGAGTGCCAAATAGGAAAGGTTTAGAAAAGAATGCTTTATCTGCATAGTTTGTCATTTCATCAACCATTGGGCACAATAAAGGCACTGCATTTGCATCGGCATGGATATGAAGATGAGTCATAGTTAGTTCTAGGAATAAACAGATTTATTCCCAAA